>NC_000017.11:8369898-8521414 GCF_000001405.40 Homo sapiens
GCACTGTTTACACAGAGTCAGATATAAGACAATAACTTCTTTGGTGACATTCCCATATTTTCCTTGCAGCTCCTTGAGCATGCGTGTCCGCCCACCATGTCCAATACTGAGATGTGTATCATGAAGAATATCAAACAACTCTTCCTTATGTACATAATACCGTATTCGATCACGTTCTCCATGAGTAGCCTCTATCAGTTTCTCTGTGCCCTGTACAGAGATCACATCATATTTTGCTGCACGGCGATAATCACGTGATGACTTCTTCCCTTTTTCTTTAGCTTCTTTAACTTCCTTTATTGTTTGAAAGTACTTTTCTTTGGAAAATACCTTGCTGTTGTAACTTTTGCTTTCTACTAACTTTGTTACACTCATAAGAAACTTTTCTCTCATGTTACTTATCTCCATTTCCATTTCACTTGCATTTGAAACCCCAGGTGGATCATTTCCAGCTCTCTGAGGCATCATGGAGAGCTGTAAGAAGGATCCTAAGAAAGGAAGAAAAGAGAACAAAGTTAAATTCACTGACACTCCCACCTGGAAGACTTTCCCTCTAAAGTTCCTCATCAATTCTTTCATCTAATTTTTGAAGATGATTATATGGAAGAATGATAATAGAATAATAGTTAAAAAGCAACTAGAAAGCCAACTAGCACCATCCAAAACCACAGCATAGCAACAGAATTTGACATCAGTAAAGATCACAAATATGTAGAGGTTTTAGACTTTAGGCAAACAGCAAAAACAATGAAGTCATTAGCTTATAGCAAGAAACCTAATCAACTGGTTTTTATTAACTGAATAGGAGAGAGGATAAACAGAAACTCCTAAGGCAGTAGGCTAAAATCTTACCCTCAGTACCCTTTAAAATAATATAAATGGGAGAACGTTGCTAAAAGGTACCACATAATAACAGCAAACTCTTAAACTGAAATTTGTACCAGGGATTGCTTCTGAGCCTTCCCATGATCAACAGAAACAATTTCTTGGCCAAGCACAGTGGCTCACGCCTGTAATCCCAGCACTTTGGGAGGGCGAGGTGGGCGGATCACTTGAGGTCAGGAGTTCAAGAACAGCCTGGCCAACAGGGTGAAACCCCATCTCTACTAAAAATACAAAATTTAGCCAGGTGTAGTGGCAGGAGCCTGTAATCCCAGCTACTCGGGAGACTGAGGCAGGGAGAACTGCCTGAACCTGGAAGGTGGAGGTTGCAGTGAGCCGAGATTATACCACTGCACTCCAGCCTGGGCGACAAAGCGAGACTGTTTCAAAAAAAAAAAATTTCTTATGGCTGAGGAGTCTGTCCTTATCTTGGGGAATCGAGAAGAAAGCTGTGGGGATATTTTTAAATGACGGTTTCCCCTTGACAATTGTCCACAAGATTAATAAAGGAAGATTCTGAGCCCTTACCCTGTGGGACCGTGTTCTCATAACTGTCCAGCATTGTGTCTCTGTAGCAATCCTTTTGAGAGCCTTCTAAATAATTCCAATCTTTGGTCATATTTTCAAATGCTGTTGCTTCCTGAAACAACATTGGCTGCTGCCACAGGGACCATATAGTCTTGGGGCCTGGGCTAAAGAGCAGCTTCAGCAGGACTGGGGAAGAGACAAGAGAGGGCACCAGGAATGAAGGCATGCAGCATAAAGGACTCTGAAAGCGAGTCAGGTGAATAAATGGAAGAAATAAGAAATAGGTCTCACATCTAACAAGATGAGTACAGCTTCATGGATGAGGGAAAGGAGTTTTGCTTTCCTGGGAGGTCTGTTGGTCTGGCCAGTTTTGACGCTGCCAGAGCTGTAGCCCATTTATTAATCTTTCCAGAATAAAGCAGAGTCCAAGTGAACTTGGGCGCAGGCTTGATGACTCCTAACAGGGGTGGCAGGATCTGTTTCCAATGGAAATATTATATCTGTGTACATAAAGATATGTCAGGAGATTATCCTGCAGAAAAGAGATACCCCAAATGGAGTCTACCTGCCACTGTGATCAGATAATTCCTTAGGGAGAGAACTTGATACTCAGTTGTCTAAACTGGGATTCCTTAGTCAGAACAGCCGTAAGACAGGATGGTGATGAGGCCAGGGGAGTTCACATGAGGACTGCAGGAATTCCAGCAAGCTTAGGAAAACAGGATCCCGAGATCCCAGCTGTCAGATGCAGAGCGGAGGGGCAGGGCAGAATCCTGAGAAGCAGAGAAAGATGGAAACTTTTAAAGGCTCTGAGCAAGAGTCTCAGTTAAGTGGGGCCTGCTTCCAGGTCCGGAAGGTCCTTCACTAAAAGGGCTTCAAACTCCCTTCCTCAGCATTGCTAGTTAATCATGAATATTCCTGATTCTAAGACATTACTGATTGTAAATCACTAACTTAATAACAACTTTCTTTTGAGAGGAAAAACAGTGTGTATTAAATGAATGTATTGATAAGACACATCCAAAATTTAAAATGTGAAAAATATGCATTTTCATTCTTTTTCTTTTTTTGTATTTTTTTATAGAGATGGGGTTTTGCCATGTTGCAAAAAACCCAGGCCGGTCTCGAACTCCTGGGCTCTAGTGATCCACCTGCCTCAGCCTCCCAAAGTGAGGTTTTGCCATGCTGGCCAGGCTGGTCCTCGAACTTCTAGCCTCAAGTGATCTGCTCGTTTTGGCCTCCCAAAGTGTTGGAATTACAGGTGTGAGCCAGCACACCCAGCCGGTCCTACTAGTTCTAACAGACTTGAAACCACAAGGTATTCAATGGAATCCAGAAAAAGCACCTTCCAGATTCCTTTCTGAAACCAGCGTCTCTCAGAACCTGAGTGCTGTGTTGGTTGTTATTTGAGTCCCTTCAGGGGACCGCAAAGGAAGGAAAAGCCTCATCTTCATTCTATAAAATAATGAAGGCAACTGGGCATGGTGGCTCATGCCTGTAATCCTAACACTTTGGTAGGCCAAGGTGAGAGGATTGCTTGAGGCCAGGAGTTCAAGACCAACCTAGTCAACATAGTGAGACCCTGTCTCTAAAAATAAAAAAAAGAAAAAAAAGAATGAAGGCAACAGGCTAGAAACAATTTATAATCAAAAGATGTAGAATCTCAGTCTTTAGTAGAGGTACAGTCCTTACTATACCATGAAATTCTACAGTAGAGTCCAGGGTCTACAATTATCTAATAGACCTATTTTGGTTGGTCCATCTAGTGATTTTAAAAAAATTTGTCTCCCTCTTCCTCTCTCCATCTCCGTCTCCACGGTCTCCCTCTCCCTCTCTCCCTCTCTCCGTCTCCGTCTCCGTCTCCGTCTCCACGGTCTCCCTCTCCCTCTCTCTCCACGGTCTCCCTCTGATGCCAAGCCGAGGCTGGACTGTACTGCCGCCATCTCGGCTCACTGCAACCTCCCTGCCTGATTCTCCTGCCTCAGCCTGCCGAGTGCCTGGGATTGCCCACAGGCGCCGCCATGCCTGACTGGTTTTTGTATTTTTTGGTGGAGATGGGGTTTCGCCGTGTTGGCCGGGCTGGTCTCCAGCTCCTGACCGCGAGTGGTCTGCCTGCCTCGGCCTCCCGAGGTGCCGGGATTGCAGATGGAGTCTCGCTCACTCAGTGCTCAATGTTGCCCAGGCTGGAGTGCAGTGGCGTGATCTCGGCTCCCTACAACCTCCACCTCCCAGCTGCCTGCCTTGGCCTCCCAAAGTGCCGAGATTGTAGCCTCTGCCCGGCTGCCACCCCGTCTGGGAAGTGAGGAGCGTCTCTGCCTGGCCGCCCATCGTCTGGGATGTGAGGAGCCCCTGTGCCCGGCCGCCCAGTCTGGGAAGTGAGGAGCCTCTTCCCGGCCGCCATCCCGTCTGGGAAGTGAGGAGGGTCTCTGCCCAGCCGCCCATCGTCTGAGATGTGGGGAGCGCCTCTGCCCCGCCGCCCCGTCTGGGATGTGAGGATCGCCTCTGCCCGGCCGTGACCCCGTCTGGGAACTGAGGAGTGTCTCTGCCCGACCGCCACCCCGTCTGGGAGGTGAGGAGCGTCTCTGCCCAGCCGCCCCGTCTGAGAAGTGAGGAGCCCCTCCGCCCGGCAGCCGCCCCGTCTGGGAAGTGAGGAGCATCTCCACCCTGCAGCCGCCCCATCCAGGAGGTGGGGGGCAGCCCCTGCCTGGCCAGCCGCCCCGTCCGGGAGGGAGGTGGGGGGCAGCCCCCGCCCGGCCGGCCGCCCCGTCTGGGAAGTGAGGGGCCCCTCTGCCGGGCCGCCACCCCGTCTGGGAGGTGTACCCAACAGCTCATTGAGGACGGGCCATGGTGACGATGGCGGTTGTGTCGAATAGAAAAGGGGGAAATGTGGGGAAAAGAAAGAGAAATCAGATTGTTACTGTGTCTGTGTAGAAAGAAGTAGACATAGGAGACTCCATTTTGTTCTATACTAAGAAAAATTCTTCTGCCTTGGGATGCTATTAATCTATAACCTTACCCCCAACCCCGTGCTCTCTGAAACATGTGCTGTGTCCACTCAGGGTTAAATGGATTAAGGGCAGTGCAAGATGTGCTTTGTTAAACAGATGCTTGAAGGCAGCATGCTCGCTAAGAGTCATCACCACTCCCTAATCTCAAGTACCCAGGGACACAAACACTGCGGAAGGCCGCAGGGTCCTCTGCCTAGGAAAACCAGAGACCCTTGTTCACATGTTTATCTGCTGACCTTCCCTCCACTATTGTCCTATGACCGTGCCAAATCCCCCTCTCTGAGAAACACCCAAGAATGATCAATAAATACTAAAAAAAAAAAAAAAAAAAAAAAAATTGAATGATTCGGCCGGGCGTGGGGGCTCACACCTGTAACCCCAGCACTTTAGGAGGCGGAGGTGGGCGGATTACAAGGTCAGGAGATCGAGACCATCCTGGCTAACACGAGGAAACCCCGTCTCTACCAAAAATACAAAAAATTAGCTGGGCATGGTGGCGAGCGCCTGTAGTCCCAGGAGGCTGAGGCAGGAGGATGACATGAACCCGGGAGGTGGAGCTTGCAGTGAGCCGAGATCGTGCCTCCGCACTCCAGCCTGGGCGACAGAGCCAGACTCTGTCACAAAAAAAAAAAAAAAAAAAAAAAAAAATTCAATGTTTCACCTATATTTACAGATTGGGAGATTTCACATAAATCTCGATTTCTTTCTTTTTTGAGACAGAGTTTTGCTCTGTCATCCAGGCTGGAGTGCAGTGGCGCGATCCCGGCTCACTGCCAGCTCCGCCTCCCGGGTTCACGCCATTCTCCTGCCTCAGCCTCCCGAGTGGCCGGGACTACAGGCACCTGCCACCAGGCCCAGCTAATTTTTTGTATTTTTACTAGAGATGGGGTTTCACCGTGTTAGCCAGGATGGTCTCGATCTCCTGACCTCGTGATCCACCCGCCTCTGCCTCCCAAAGTGCTGGGATTACAGGCGTGAGCCACTGCACCCAGCCTCGATTTCTGGCTTTCTTGAAAAGGCAACATTCTGGCTGCACTGGCGGCATTGCTGCCTGGCAATAACTGGCTGTGATGGAGAGGCGGCATCTTCCTTTGGATCAAGCTTGTCCAACCTGTGGCCTGTGGGCTGCACGCAGCCCAGGACGTCGGGACCTACTAACCTATTCATCTTACTTGCCCACTCCTGCACATTTCTAAGCTTTCAATATCTTTTTTCTTTCATTTTTTTTTTTTTTGAGAGGGTAGGGTCTCACTTTGTCACCCAGGCTAGAGTACAGTGGCATGATCACGGCTCCCAGGGTCAAGGCATCCTCCTACCGCAGCCTCCCAAGTAGCTGGGACTACAGGCATGCGTCACCAGACCCAGCTAATTTTTTCTTTTCTTTCTTTTTTTTTTTTTTTTGTAGAGACGGGGTCTCATTATGTTGCCCGAGGCTTCAGTATCTTTTCCAAAGCAACATGAAAGAAATGTGACCGTAAATCAATCAGCTTCTTGGTGTGATCTATGTGACGGCTAGGTGATAAACGAGTTGGTCAGAGAAAACTGGAAATATTTCCAAAGCCATGTTTACTCCCTTCACCCACCTGTGAGTCTTCGCCTTGGCTGTTTCCGACTCGGAATGTCCTCGCATTGATCCTCCCAATCACAGCCAGCTGAAACCAGCCTCCTTCCTGACGTATTCAGTAACTTTAGCTGATTGCCATCTCTCCTTCATCTCAACAACCTGTACCACACTCACTGGAGCACTTCGCTTTGCATCTTTAGTCGACCAGTTCAGATATATACAACCTATAAGGTAGGGACGGAGGCTTCTACCTGCCTGTACCCCCTTTGGAGGGCCCACGAATACAGAGCTGAGCACAAAAGATGTTTAAAGGACATTTTGTCAAAAATGTCGCTTACAGGTAGGTCGTTATTAGCAAGGTAGAGCAGCGGTACGGCCGAGTCTACGCTTGGGAATTCATTTGCTGACTCTTATCATTTACTGACTAAAGCAAAGTTACTGAGGCCTCAGTTTCCTCATCTACAACCCGGGGAGATGACCAGTACCCATCACAATCGATTGCTATGAAGATTCAATGATAATGCAGATAAGGCACTTAATACAGTGTCCCCTCACCGTCCACACCACACGGGCACGCCCGCTTATTCCTGAGGACCGGGCTGGGATGTCGCCTCCTTTGTGTAGCCTTCCTACCCTGACTTCGCAGACTGCTCCCACCGCCTGGATCCATGCCCGTCCACCCGCCAGCTCAGGGCTGAACGGCTGAGGCGGGCGCGCGGTGGAGAAAAGAGCTGCAGACTGAGGAAGGTCAGGAAGGAGAAAGGGACACACCAGACGCGGCGTCTGAATCCCCCTCCACCCAGAGGCCCCCGAGCAGCAACTCCGCCCCACCTCCCGCCCGCTCCGCCGGAAGCCGGTCAGCGCCAGCCGGAAGCCCCGCCCCCTAGAGGCACCGCGGACACCGTGCAGCGCTGTTCACCCAGATGCCAGCTGTGACCTTGGCTAAGCCAGTGACTTAACTCGGGCCCGTTCCCCATTCCCACGTTGTTGCCAAGTCTCCAGCCTGGAAAGTAAACGGGCTTCAGGTGTCCTGTTTAGATGCTTAAAATGAGGAACGGCAGGAGCACACACACTGCTGCCACCTCACACCTTTTCACTTCATCCTGACGAAGCTGCAGTTTAGTTTATATTTTAACTCAAAGACGTGTTAGGTTTTGGTTTGATGGCACTCATCCAGCACTTGTGCAGAAAACAAGGTAAAGGGGGCCCATGGGTCTATCAGATAACCTGAACCCGAGACCTCTCAATCTGGAGGAACAGCTTGAAGAAGTCATCTAGAAGCTATAAAGTCACAGAAGCTTCTTATCCTATTGAAAGCAAGACTTCCTATCCAATGGCAATACAAACTTTTACGCAGTAAGGTAAAAAATATAGCCTGTCCATATAGCAACCTATCCATAGTAAGCAAGTTAAAAGACAGGTTCAAGAGGAAGTGTTTCCAACTAGCTTTTCTTGTAGGCCTTCTTCTTCTCAATGACACCCCTCCAGCTTCTGATATATCCTCAAATGCTGCTGCCCACTATAAAAAAAATCTCATCAGTCCTGATTTCAGAAAAATTTTAGACCAACAAATCAGAGGTAAGAGACTGATCCACTGAAAACTAGGGAGTGTCCTAAATCACCACACACAAAACACAGGCTCTTTGTTTCAAGTTTTAATCAAAGCTTGTATATAAGATTACTTTATTCCTGCATCTTCTCAATGGTTTCTTCCTTGTATTTGCCCTTTTCCTTTCCTACTTGGCGAGATTTGGCTTTCCGTTCGAGGATCTTTTTGCGGTCTTTGTCCAGTTTTAGCCTAGTGATAACCACCTGCAGAAAAATAAGAAAAAAACACTCCCAAGCTTTAAATAATCACTAAAACACAAGGGAAAGCCCAACATTCAATACCATTTCCCAAACCTGGGGTAGGTGGATGCCTAATAAGAAAAGATTTTAACTTTTAAAAAACTCCAGAAATCACTCTTTAGCCATCAAACCTGGCTTATTTACTAATTTCCTACCAACAAAGGAGAAAAGGCAAGATGGTATCAGTAATTCTTAAAGCCTCTTCTGTGCTTCATTATAAGATTTGTTTCTTTTTCACTGAGAAATATATGATTCTGCTCTTCTCACTACAGTTTTACAAGCTGTCATATACAAATATATTTGTTTCCAAAGTAACTTCAGGCTGGGTGCGGTGGTTCATGCCCCCAATCCCAGCACTTTGGGAGGCAGAGGCAGGCGGATCACCTGAGGTCAGGAGTTTGAGACCAGTCTGGCCAACACGGTGAAACCCCTTCTCTACTAAAAATACAAAAATTAGCTGGGTATGGTGGCACATGCCTGTAATCCCAGCTACCTGGGAGGCTGAGGCAGGAGAATCTCTGGAACCCTGGGGGGGCGGAGGCTGCAGTGAGCTGAGATGGTGCTATTATTGCACTCCAGCCTGGGCGATCAATCGAGACTCCATCTCAAAAAACAAACAAGTAACAAAACAGCAGGGTGTGGTGAATGCCTACTCAGGAGGCTACTGCGGGAGAATCGCTTGAACCCAGGAAGCAGAGGTTGCAGTGAGCTGAGATCGCACCATTGCACTTCCAGGCTGGGCGACAAGAGCAAAACTCTGTCCAAAACAAAAAAAACCCCACCCCCAAACAGAAAAATAATAAAGTAACTTCAGAATTTTAATGCTAGAAATTAAAGGTAGCATCCACACATAATTCCACCTGCAAAATCTTTAGTGAGAAGATGACAATACGATCTTACTCCAACAGTTCCAATCCTAAAAGACATCCAAATTATGATAAATTTTAGTCTTATGAATGCGAGGAAAGGGTGAAAAGAGGTGCTGGAAATACAGCATGCAGACCAAACAAAAATCTCCACAGTCACTGAACTCATATTCTAGTATAGGGAGCCCGAAAACATTTACAAGTGAATCTACATCACTTTGATAGAGTAAGAAGGCAAGTGTGAGGAGGCCGAGGGGCTTTCTAGAGTGATCAAGCAAAGCCCTACATTTGAACAGAGACCTAAAGTGGTGAGCAATCTATCTATGCACAGGTATCTGGAAGAGAACAGCAAGTTGAAAGGTTCAAAGGCAGGAGATTATCAAGTTTCATAGATGTGTTTCTCAAACTTGAGTAAGAATCAACTGGAGGGCTTATTAAAACATACACCTGGGTCATAAGCCCTAATTTTGCCTCAGTAGGCCTGGGCTCTTAGAATTTATAATTCTACCAAGTTGCTAGGAGGCGAGCAGACTAGAACATATAGAATGGAAAAAGATGTCAGAAGTAAGGGAAGATCAGTTAAGGTCTTTATTTTTTTTCTTTTTTTTTTTTTGAGATGGCGTTTTCACTCGTTGCCTAGGCTGAAGTGCAATGGTGCGATCTCGGCTCACTGCAACCTCCGCCCAATATACATAATGGGACAGGCATGGTGGCTCATGCCTGTAATCCCAGCACTTTAGGAGGCTGAGGCAGGCAAATCACCTGAGGTCAGGAGTTCAAGACCAGCCTGGCCAACATGGTGAAACTTTGTACTAAGAAGTACAAAAATTAGCCGGGTGTAGTGGTGCACGCATGTAGTCACAGCTACACTCAGGAGGCTGAGGCGGGAGAATCGCTTGCACTTGGGAGGTGGAGGCTGCAGTGAGCCGAGATTGTGCCACTGCACTCCGGCCTGGGTGAAAGAGCAAGACTGTCTCAAAAACAAACTAACAGAAACATAATGACCGTTAACACTTTGATGTCAGAAACATTTTAAATGGTATTAGAATTTTCAATACAAGTGCAGTAGTATTTACTTTAAAATGTTTTTTTCCAGCACATGTAAAATCAAGGACTATTTCTATGGCCTTGCTCTGTAAACAATCATGTCAACAATAATTGCCATAATTTCCTTCTCTCAAGCATTCTCAAAAACACCTACCTTGCTGGGGTGAATGCCTACGTGGACAGTTGTGCCATTAGCCTTTTCCCGCTGCACCCGTTCAATGTAGATAACATATTTCTTCCTGTAAACCTGGACTACTTTGCCAATTTGCTGACCTTTATAGTGTCCACGTACAACCTAAGAGCAAATTCAAAAGTAACAAATATTTGAATAAAAGATTAACCTTGTAAATCAAGTAAACAAACTCATGCATACACCATTCACCCTATCATTATATTAAAAGGTTAAAAAAAAGAGCCCACTTCGGCAACCTGTAAGAAGTTGACAACAAGGAATCTGTTACTCCATCTCAAAAGCAGCAACAGACCAAGAGTATTTAAATCTGAACCCATTAATGTGTGCAACCTAGTGCTAGTCAGAGGGCAGCAACAAATGCTTAACGGAACAAACCAATTCTTTCCCAAAGGTTAGTGGACAGGAATCCCAGTGGTCCTCAGTTTGTGAGGACAAGTATTTCTGAACAGATTCTTCTTCCCAGTTTGTGACTTTCTTGCATTGGTATGTATTGAAAACAGAGATGACAGTTTTCAAGGTCTACTGGCAAGTTTAGCACTACTGCAGCAGGGACCAACGGCTGTTCTCAACCCACACTGCTTGTTTGGGAACCCATTTCATCTTTTTGAAATAGGCATGAAAAAATATTGATGGTGTGTATGTAAATGGCTTTAGAGACTGCCTGAATTCTTTAATCACTAGCTGCACTACAGATTACACCTAAGGGTCATTTATAGAAACCTTCACCTAAATAGATGCAACAAATTATTTACCTGTAAGTGCAAACGATAACGTGACTGTGCTTCAGTTACAGCTCCTGAATCTAGATTGGGAGCAATTCTGTTTACTGGTCCTCAACTGCCTCTTCAATGACCAAACATTGAAACCTCCTTTCCAAAAATTGCCAACAGTGAGAAAATTACAGCAGTTAAAGAGAACTGACCTAACTCCCATCTTGCTTCTAACCTCCAAGATGTCCTTGTTCATTCCTGGGCATAGACCAAACTAACTTTGGGAGGAACTTAGTCTACAGGTTAACTTTGAAACAAAGATGCTAACAGTGCTTTCCTGAAACAAACCCCCTTCTTGCCTGGGTACCAGACTGCCTTTGTAGGCTAACAAATTAGCTGCAAGACTAGAAATTACAGTTTAGGCAGCTAGAGGCTTCCCCAATTGCTCCTAGGGATAACACACTGTAAAGCCTAAGATTTGTGTGATTTTTTTTTTTCAGACCCTGCACTGATGGATCCGCTGGTGCCACCCAGATCAATAAACTGGCTCATCTGATCTTGTGGCCCCCATCCAGGAACCAACTCAGAGCAAGAAGACAGCTTCAACTCCCTATGCCTTCATCTCTGATACGACCTGTCAACACGCCCCACTCCCTGGCCCCCTACCTGCCAAATTATCCTTAAAAAAACTCCCATCCCTAAATTTTCCGGGAGAATGATTTGAGTAGTTAACTCTGGTCTCTCGTTCTGGCTCTGCATGAATTAAACTCTTTCTCTATTGCAATTCCTGTCTAGATAAATCGGCTCTATCTGGACAGCAGGCAAAATGAGCCTGTTGGGTAGTCACAATATATTGATAAAAGGATTAATCCCAAAGCAATGTTCTGATTATGTCACCTAATTATGGTCACATCATCTGACGTTTGAGGAAACTGATTTTCGGGCAGGATCCCCAGGAGTTGGAGACCAATCTGGGCAGTAAAGTGAGACCCCTCTCTACAGAAACAAAAAAAAGGTCCTACATGGGAGCATCACTTGAGCCCACAAGAGCCATGACCACGCAACTGCACTCCAGTCTGGGTAAGAGTGAGACCCCATCTCAGCCGGGCGCGGTGGCTCACGCCTGTAATCCCAGCACTTTGGGAGGCTGAGGCGGGCTGATCACCTGACGCCATGAGTTCGAGACCACCCTGCCCAACATGGTGAAACCCCGCCTCTACTAAAAACACAAAAATTAGCCGAGCCGTGGTGGCGGGCGCTTGTAATCCCAGCTACTCGGGAGGCTGAGGCAGGAGAATCGCCTGAACCCGGGAGGCGAAGGTTGCAGTGAGCTGAGATGGCACCACTGCACTCCAGCCTGGGGGGGACAAGAGCGAGACTTCATCTCAAAAAAAAAAAAAAAAAAGATTTTCACCAAATAATACAATTAAAAACTGAAAAGCAGCTTACTTACTGTTTTTTGGTCCCTGGCTCAACTCATCTTGCCACTCTTTGGGAGCAAGAGTCTCAGAAGCATCTTTCTCAGGAATGCAATCTCTCTTCTAAGCTAAGTGCGTAAAATATCCATCAAGACAACGAGAACAAGTAGGGATACACACCTGAACTTCATCATCCTTTCGGATGGGCATGGATCGCACGTTGTACTTCTGTCTCAGCTCTTTGGAAAGAGGGGAAGACATAATCTTCCTTCGAATGTGGGAAGGTGCATTGAAATGCCTTTTGCGATTCTTGCTTCGGTCGGAAGTCACAAAGGGATTAAACTTCATTTTGGCTAAATAAAAAGTTAAAAAGACTCTTAAATGACCAAAATCTCATCCAGCTTCCAAACAAATAACCGCAATGATTTTATCTTGATAGTCTAGAATGATCATAGGCAGTGTCATGTTGTGCAACTTCAACAAAAACTGTTTGATCGGAAGGGCCTATCAACCGAAGCTCGAAACTTTTTATTTTTTGTTTTATTCGGGTGTTTTCTGTATATGTTTACGGACTAAAGACTTTTGCATCAAAAACACTTGTCCTAGTTATAAGACCTTTTAGTTACACTCTCCCAACTCCTCAAGTAGTGCCTGAGGAAATCAAGACTGGACTTACATCTCTGCTGAGCAGACCGACAACGCAATTCTCTTAACTATAACCTCACGTTTTAGAAGGTACAATCAACGTTCATCTTCTACAGGCTTAAGAGTGAATACGTATAGCCCCGCCAAAATGAATAAGGCCCACCAACCCGAACCTGGAAAAGCCTGCACACGTCTCGGGTCCTAAAAGCCTCCCAGTGGGCAAGTGTGGTCTGGAAATTCCGTGAAGACTTTACCGAGAAGTTACTTCGAGACCATTCTCTAGGAAACGACACTACCCAGACTCCAGTCTATTTCCACAGGCTCCCTTCCCTCAGCTCGTTTTCGAGTTCCCAAATCCCCGGTCCCTCCATCCATCTCCGGCCCGGCGGCCCTTGATTTAAGAAAGCAACAGATAAAAAACCATCCCAGTCTCTCCTTCCTGGCTGCTACTCGGCCGACAAGAGACTCTCGGGGTCCCCGCGGTCGGAAGCCACCATGCCCAAGAACGGATGGCTGCTGATTACACCCGCTTGCCCGCCGAATCCTTACCCGCTCCCGCTTCGGTGATGGCCGCAAAAGGGAAGAGAACTACACGCTGCTTCCGGTTCTGTAAGTTTACCAAAGATCTCGCGAGACCTATGTCTCTCGGAGCGAGAGGGGCGCGGAGTTTGAGCGAGGGGAGTAAACTGGGAAATAAATTTATGGCTAGTGTCACCTAGTGGCTAGGAGGGGAACTGCGAGGGATTGCAAAACTCCCCTCCTCCAGGTCCTAGTGTCTCCCTTCCGAGACCCGGGTGCTGCCGCTGAATCCTCTGGGAAGGGTAGTCCCGGGGCTATTGGCTAAGGCTGCTCAGGGTCCAACTGCCCCTGGGGGTGATGAAGGAACGAGCGGCCCCAGGAGACCGCCCAGGAGACCCGCTGGTACCTTCACTCCCAGGTGCCGGGGCGGGGGCCGGCACCCCTTAGCCGGGGAAGCGCAGGCCCTGCTTCTGGCCGCCAGGAGGCGCGGGGACGCCGGCCGGCCGGTCGCCTGGGTCCCTGCACTCACCGTCCCCTCCCGCCCGTGGCGTGGGCGCGGCCAGCGTGCCGGTACTTTAACGAGCTCCACCGCGACGCCGGCCACCGCCCCTGCACCTGGGCGTCTGCTGACCGCACAGCAGGGCCCGCCAGAGATTCAGTTCTGGGTGGTGAGGGGCCTTGCGAGGACCAGGGCCACCGATCGCCGCCTGCCCCCGCGGAAATAGGTCCAAGGCCGCGTTTCCAAGGCGCCCCCAGTGCTGTGGGAGGTGCTGGTCCAGACCACGCTTCGAAGGAGCCAGGCGAGAGGAAGCCTCTCGGTGCGGGGAGCTGCGCGGGTTTCTAAATGCTCGGCCTGTTTGCGTCCAGTTCAGGACCAGACGGAAGCCGTGCGCTCCCTGCAAATGGTTTCTTTTCTTCTTCTTCGTGTGTGTGTGTGTGTGTGTGTGTGTGTGTGTGTGTGTGTGTGTGTGTGTGTGTGTGTGTGTGTGTCTTTTTCTTCTTTTTGAGACAGTTTCGCTCTTGTTGCTCAGGCTGGAGCGCACTGGCACGATCTCCACTCACTGCAACCTCCGCCTCCCGGGTTCTCCTGCCTCAGCCTCCTGAGTAGCTGGGATTACAGGCGCCCGCCACCACGCCCGGCTAATTTTTGTAGTTTTAGTAGAGACGAGGGTTCACCATGTTGGCCAGGCTGGTCTCGAACTCCCGACCTCAGGCAATCCGCCCGCCTCAGCCTCCCAAAGTGCTGGGATTACAGGCGTGAGCCACCGCGCCCGGCCCCTGCAAATGGTTTCTGAGGCAGCGGCAGTGCAGCAGGCACCGGCGCTGAACGGCTTCTGCTGAATGAATGACACGGGTGTCACAGTGACAGAGGACAGGCGTTTCACAAGAATACCGAAGACGTAGTGAGCCTTCTGAGTGTGGGGACGCTCTTCTCTACACTTTACATCATGAATTCTTTTAATCCACAAAATGGCTCTGTTGTTGCTGGTATTATTGTCCCCATTTTACAGATTGGGCAACTCAGCCACAGAGAAATGAGAGGAACTTGGTGCAAGGTTATACAGGACCCATAAGTCACAGCAGAACCCGTGCAGGCTGGCTCCCCGGCCTCTTCTGGGAACTGTATATGGCCCCAATTTGTGGGAACCTCATAGTCAGGACTGCCCAGAGGATGGTCAGCAACGAACATGCGTTTTCATGATTTAAAAATAGTTGTGTTCTTAAATATGCTGTGAAGGAAGTAGCCCTAGATTTTATTCATCACTGAAAAATTCAGCAAGAATTCCTCTGCTGCGACTCTTTTCAACAAATATTTATGAGGCTTCTTTCCTGGGCCAGCCCTGAAACTAGACACTGGCGATGCAAAATAGGTCAAAGTTTGTGCCTTCAGGAAGTTTACTGTCTACAAGAAAAGATAGACAAGGGAATCAACAGCCACGAGACCACAGGAAAAGTGCTCGCTGAGCCAGCTGCCCTTGCTGTCTCTGTGATTCAGGAGCAGAAGGGAGCTCTGGGGTCAGGGAAGACTTCTGAGGTGAGGTCAGCATTGACTGGAATTGGAAGAATGTTAGCATTCGCTCCACAAGGCAGTAGGAATTGCTTGAAGGAAGGCTTGGAGGTGTGAAGCAGCGTGACTCGTGTTTTCCAGGAACCAGGTCCTTGCCGCTGAAGAGAGGCATTTAGACGGGAGCCCAGGGGCTCTAGGGCTGAGCTGAGTGTGATTTGGGTCTGGAAGTCCTAGGGAGCTGCCGAAGGTGCCTGCCTTCCTTCCTTGCCTTGCCTTTCTGGCCTTCACGTTGTCACTCCTTCTCTTTCTTCCTACTGTCCTTACTAGTTTCCCAACTCCCTTCCTGTTCGGGTGTCCCCATCGTCTTCCTGTCTTCCCACCAAGGCCCTCTCTGTTTCCTCAGCCCTCACATCCTCTGCTGACACCCTACCCTCCCAGGCCTTCCTTTCTTTCTCCCTCTGTTCAATACCGAGTCTCAAAATGAAACCTTCAGGCCGGGCATGGTGGCTCACGCCTGTAATCCTAGCACTTTGGGAGGCCGAGGCAGGCAGACTTGAGGTCAGAAGTTAAGGCCAGAAGTTTAAGACCAGCCTGGCCAGCATGGCGAAACCCCATCTCTACTAAAAAAAAAAAAAATTAGCCGGGCGTGGCGGTGTGCACCTGTAATCCCAGCTACTCGGGAGGCTGAGGCAGGAGAATCGCATGAACTTGGGAGGCGGAGCTTGCAGTGAGTGGAGATCATGCCACTGCACTTCAGCCTGGGAGACAGAGCAAGACTCTGTCTCAAAAAAAAAAAAAATTAAACCTTCAGCCCACCATCCATACAGCATGACACTTGATACAATGTGAAAATTTGCAGGGTACAAATTGTCCATACAGATGCAAATGGCCAGTAGCCTAGTTAGAACGTCCCTATCTGTTTTTTTTTGTTTTTTGTTTTTTTTTTGAGGCGGAGTCTCGCTCTGTCACCCAGGCTGGAGTACAGTGGCGCAATATCTGCTCACTGCAACCTCTGCCTCCTGGGTTCAAGCAATTCTCCTGCCTCAGCCTTCTGAGTAGCTGAGATTACAGGCATGAGCCACTACTCCCGGCTGGCTAATTTTTTTATTTTTGGTAGAGATGGGGTTTCACCACATTGGCCAGGATGGTCTCGAACTCCAGACCTCAAGTGATCTGCCTGCCTCGGCCTCCCAAAGTGCCGGGATTACAGGCGTGAGCTACCACGCCTGGCCGTCCCTTTCTCTCTTTTTTTTTTTTTTGAGACGGAGTCTGGCTCTGTCACCCAGGCTGGAGTGCAGTGGCGCTATCTCGGCTCACTGCAAGCTCTGCCTCCCGGGTTCACGCCATTCTCCTGCCTCAGCCTCCCGAGTAGCTGGGACCACAGGCTCCCGCCACCATGCCCGGCTAATTTCTTTTTGTATTTTTAGTAGAGACGGGGTTTCACCGTGTTAGCCAGGATGGTCTCGATCTCCTGACCTCGTGATCCGCCCGCCTTGGCGTCCCAAAGTGCTGGGATTACAGGCGTGAGCCACCGTGCCCGGCCCCCTTTCTCTTAACGTGTCTGTTGGGTGTCTTGCCTTCACCCTGCAGCCTAGTCTGACTGCACTCTCTCTCCCTCGCTGCCCACATTCCTCTTCCTGGATTTGAAAAAGGTCCCTTTAGGATCATTTTGAAGCCTTCAGACATAGCAAAGCAGGGATTATAGCTAGATTCCACACCCAGAGTTGATTAGACTTAACTTTTTTCTAAACACCAAGCTGTCAGGTTTATTCATTCATTCACTCATTCTCCAAATATTTCTCCAGCTCTTACTGTTTACTAAATTCTGTGTCAGGCACTGGAGATACCAAGATCTATAAGATCTAGCCTCCCCGGAAGGAGCACTTCGTTAAGGAGGAGACAGATGTGACCAGATAAGCATAATCAAGTGTCACCGATGGATGCTTTGTGGGGGATGGGGGGGCGGCGTAGGAGCTGGCAGTTCCCTTGAGCAAGGAAGTGGGCACGTCTTCAGAGGTAACCCTGGAACTATACTGTTTCTGAAAAGCTAGGTAGGAGTTTTCCAGGTAGATGGGGTGGAGTGGGGGTTGGGGTGGGGGGGTGTGTTTCAGGCGGAGTGAGGCTCATAAGCAAAGGCCCAGGCCTGCACCCCACTGCATATTGGGAACTGCAAGTGGTTTGTGCTGAGAATGAGCTGTGGAGTTAATTTATCCCGGTAGGAGGAGGAGTTGTAAGGGTGAGGCAAAGTTGTTTATTGTGTGTCCCTGAAAAAGGACTTTTTTTTTTTTGAGATGGAGTCTCACTCTGTTGCCCAGGTTGAAGTGTAGTGGCACAATCTTGGCTCATTGTAACCTCCACCTCCCGGGTTCAAGCGATCCTCCTGCCTCTGTCTCCTGAGTAGCTGGGATTACAGGTGCACGCCATCATGCCTGGCTAATTTTTGTATTTTTAGTAGAGACAGGGTTTCACCATGTTGGCCAGGCTAGTCTCGAACTCCTGACCTCGTGATCCGCTTGCCTCGGCCTCCCAAAGTGCTGGGATTACAGGCATGAGCCACTGCACCTGGACCCAAAAAGGACATTTATACTGACAAGGAGGTCAAAAGGAGATAGCAGCTGAGTGGTCTTGTGAGTCACACAGGGTTCAGTGAGGGGAGAGGTTATGGAACTGTTTCTGAGGGGCACAGAGGTCTCTAATATGCCTGTCCAGGATCCTGGCAACCCTCGTCAGGGCCCTGCTGGCAATGCTATGGATCCTTAAGCTTGACTGGTAGGCTCAGACTGTGTAAGTGTGTATTACTGTTAAAGGTTATTATGATGGGAAGTGGCTGTGTGTGTGTGTGTGTGTGTGTGTGTGTTGCAGGGGTTGGGGTGCCTCTGGACAAGGGGAGGAAGAGAAAAGCAACTAAGTTTAACCCTAGGCATCCATCCCTCTATCTATCTATCTATCTATCTATCTATCTATCTATCTATCTACTATCTATGTATCTATCTATCTATCTATGTATCTATCTATCTGTCTATCTGTCTATCTCTGTCTGTGTAATGGTATTGTCCTGTAGTGCCCTCACTGCATGATGGTTGCTTAAAACAAAAGATTTTATTTGAAAACAAAGAGGAAAAGAAGAGAAGGGGGAATCAAAATAAGCACATTCAATGACGGGGCCCAGAGAAATGCTCAGGAACTCAGGAACACTGAGAACATTAAATTTTTAAACCTTACTCCTTGGGCGCCTGTTAGCATAAGATGTCACACCTCCAACCAGACAAACCAGCCCCACTAAACCAGTAGTTGACACTCTCGAACCACAGGACAGGTGGTTTGGCAGCTCTTGACTGTTCTTGGGGCAATCTTACTTGGCAACAGGCGTGTACACTGAAGATATCTTTAGCTTCTAATAATTTTTCAATTCAGTTTTTGAATGTTAAATTTACTTGGTTCAAACATCAAAAGGGATAAATTTAAGGTAAAGTGAGGCCGGGCGCAGTGGCTCACGCCTGTAATCCCAGCACTTTGGGAGGTCAAGGTGGGTGGATCAAAAGGTCAGGAGATCAAGACCATCCTGGCTAACACGGTGAGATCCTGTCTCTACTAAAAATACAAAAAAATTAGCTGGGCCTGGTGGCGGGTGCCTGTAGTCCCGGCCACTCGGCAGGCTGAGGCAGGAGAATGGCGTGAACCCTGAAGGCGGAGTTTGCAGTGAGCCGAGATAGCGCCACTGCACTCCAGCCTGGGCGACAGAGCAAGACTCCGTCTCAAAAAAAAAAAAAGGTAAAGTGAAAACTCCCCTTCCCATTCCATCATTTTCTCATTCCTTTCCATGGCTAGTCAGAATTATTAGTGTTTTGTACATCTTCCCAACTTCCTTCCTTCCTTCCTTCCTTCCTTCCTTCCTTCCTTCCTTCCTTCCTTCCTTCCTCCCTCCCTCCCTCCCTCCCTCCCTTCTGCCCTTCTTGTCTTTCTTTTCTTTCTGTCATCAAGGTCTTACTCTGTTGCTCAGGCTGGAGTACACTGGTGCAATCATAGCTCACTGCAGCCTCCTGGGCTCAAGGGACCCTCCCACCTCAACCCCCTGAGTAGCTGGGGCTACAGAGGTGCGCCACCACAAGGTAATTACAATTTTTTTTAAAAAATAGAGATAGGGTCTCACTATGTTGCCCAGGCTGGTCTTGAACTCCTGGCCTCAAGTGATCCTCCCACCTTGGCCTCCCAAAGTGCTGGGCATGAACCACCGTGCCCTGCATTCCCACTTTTTTGATGCATAAGTAAGCAAATAGGAATGTAAATTCTTATTCCCCCCCCTTTCTTTCTTTTTCTTTTTTTTTGAGACAGAGTCTTGCTCTGTCGCCCAGGCTGGAGTGCAACGGTGCGATCTCAGCTCACTGCAACTTCCGCCTCCTGGGTTCAAGCAATTCTCCTGCCTCAGCCTCCCTATTAGCTGGGATTACGGGCACGTACCACCAAGCCCGACTAATTTTTGTATTTTTAGTAGAGACAGGGTTTCACCATGTTGGCCAGGCTGGTCTTGAACTCCTGACCTCAGGTGATCCGCCCGCCTCGGCCTCCCAAAGTGCTGGGATTACAGGCGTGAGACATTGTGCCTGGCCTATTTCCTGCTCTTTCTATACAAATTGTAGTATCCAGTATCCGGTGTTCCACACCTTGCTTTTCCTCATTTTCCATTGTACCTTGGAGACATTCCATATAAGTTTATTGAGTCCTTTCTTGTTCTTTTTTTTTTTTTCTTTTACAGCTGCATGATATTCCCTGGACCTTAAGATAGATAACCAGTACCCTATTGATTAGCATTTAGGGTTTTTCCAATCCTTTATTTTTATAAACAATGCTGCAATTATATAGCATCACATGTATGCTGCTGCCCATACATGCAAGTATATCTGTAGGATGTTTCTAGAACAGGAATTGCTGGAGCAAAGCAGAAATTTTGGTAGATAATGTCACATTGCCCTTGATAGGGATTTTAATAATACACATTCCCACTAACCATTCCTCTGCCTCCCTCAGCTTCAGTAGCGGAGTGGGTTATGAGGCTTCCAGGTTTCGACAAGCTCATAGGTGAAAAATGGCATGCCAGCCAAATTTTAATTTTAATTTCTTTTGCAACTGTGGTTGAATAGATGTGTAAGAGCCATTTCTGTTTGCATTTCAAACTTTTTCTTTTCCTTTCTTTCTTTTCTTTCTTTCTTTTTTTTTTGAGACAGAGTCTCGCTGTGTCACCCAGCTGGAGTGCAGTGGCATGATCTCGGCTCACTGCAACATCCACCTCCCAGGTTCAAGCGATTCTCCTGCCTCAGCCTCCCGAGTAGCTGGGATTACAGGCGTGCGCCACCATGCCCGGCTAATTTTTTGTATTTTTAGTAGAGATGGGGTTTCACCATACTGGCCAGGCTGGTCTCGAACTCCTGACCTCGTGATCCACCTGCCTCGGCCTCCCAAAGTGCTGGGATTACAGGAGTGAGACACCGCATCAAACTTTTTCACCTAAAGTGAATTGTCCTTCAAGTCCAGGCTCGGAGCTTCCCACATAAATTGCAGAGTCTCTGGAATCTTTGAGAAAATATATACCTTTATTTTAAAAATAGCTTTTGGCATTCTCTGACAATAAAAGGAGTTGCAGCTACAGGTCACCATTGAACATACAAAAACACTGAGAGTATGTTGAAAGAAACTTTTGGCAAATACGACAGAATCTGAAAAGACTAGAACCAGGTTCCCAGAAATTCATGACACTGTTTAAAACAGCCTGGCTGAGGTTAAAAGAGACTCATTGGAGTCTTTGCAAATTTAACATTATTTTTATTCCTATAATAAATATTTTCCCCATGGAATCCATCTGTATCCCTCCCCTCCAATAGCACCTGTGCTCTTCTGTAATTTTTTTTTTTTTTTAGACAGAGTCTCGCTCTGTCACCCAGGCTGGAGTGCAGTGGCGCGATCTCGGCTCACTGCAACCTCCGCCTCCCGGGTTCAAGCGAATCTTCTGTCTCTCCCAGGTAGCTGGGATTACAGGCACGTGCCACCACTCCTGGCTAATTTTTGTATTTTTAGTAGAGACGCGGTTTCACCATATTGGCCAGGCTGGTCTCGAACTCCTGACCTTGTGATCCACCCACCTCGGCCTCCCAAAGTGCTGGGATTACAGACATGAGCCACCGTGCCTGGCCACTTCTGTAATCTTGAAATGAGCACAGAGAAGCCCACAAGTGCTTTTAAAGCAGCCCTCTCTATGTCCCAAATATCCCCTGTAGTGGGGCCCAATTCCCCAGCGGTCCCCAAATGACCAGCACTGCAGGCATTTAGGAACTAGATAAAACGTAGACTGCTATTTCTTCCCTCCCCACCAAGACAGCAAATTGCCCAGAGGGGTATAGGTTGAGGGAGGTTGGGGGCTCAGCTGTGGGCACAGCTGGGTGCAGACCACCACTTAGTTGAGATAATTGCTGGAGGTTTTTGTTGTTTTCCATTGAAAGGTGTTGGTTGACTTACGGACCTCAATAAACAGCCAATAGCTATCCCCGAATGACTCAGGCTAGACCCAACCTGAGGCTCTTCACAGTCCAACGTGGGGGCCCCAGGCAAAGAGACCTTGAGGAGCAGCTGAGGGCACCTGGGCCTCAGCATTTCTCGGTTGAGATGGCGGCGTCCCTGACAAGCACAGCTGTTTTCCTCCCCACCCTTCCTCACCCAGCCCAGCCTGGCAATCCACCTAGGAAACTGGCCCAGCTGGTGTGGCCTCTAAATGAGTGGCTGGGTCATGAGGAGGAGGACTAGCTGGGAGGGAGGCGGGAGCCCCCAGGGGTTCGTTTGCCCACATAGTTCTCAGCTGACTCAAGGCTCGCCTGTCAGGCTTCCCCTCCACTCCCTGCCACCCTTGAGAACCCCAGGACTCAAAGTTTGGATCCCTCCTTTGGCCTGGAGGGCTCAGGGAGACCTCTGGCTCCGTTCGTGGGGCACTCTGCTGGGGTGGCCTCTATCAACCAACCCCTGTCTCTGGATCTGGCCTCAGCTCTGCAGGAAGAACAGTTTCTGTTCATTCTCCCAGAAATTCTGGGGCAGCCTCTGAGATCAGCTTCTCCTTCAGGGAAGCCCTTCTAAGCTGGCAGGTTGGGGACAGGGAGGGTTAGGGGATGGGGTGCTGTGGTGGAGGTCGGGGGTGAGTGCTGAGATTCTGGGCGCCCCTTCTGTCTGTTCCCGAGGGCAAGCCGCAAATCCTGGGTGGGAATTCTGGCCTGGAGGATCCTGCCATCGGCCAGCCCAGCAGGACGTCTGCCTGCAGGACTTTCTTGTCCCTGGAGGGGCCCACCTGGCTTTGGGCAGGTCACCTGGCAGGTAAGGTCTGCCGCTCAGGGCTGGTGAGCCTGCAGGAGGGCAGTGACCACCCATCTTCCCAGCCTAGAGGAAGGGGAACGCATCTGCTGAGGATTCACGTGGGGAACACGCGCCGCGCGCATGGAGTCAGCTCCAGCCTCTCTGTCGAGCGGAAGCCCCTGCGGGGGTCGGGGAAGCCCAAGGCCCTCTCTGTGCCCAGGTCCTCCCCTCTGCCTGCCCGCGTGCCCCTCGGAGCTTGGTGGCACCAGGGCTGCCGTGGGCCTCCTGTCCCACCCCAGGCCACGGCTAGCCCGGCGGCCTCCCTGAGGTGCGGCTCACGCCTGCTTCCTCACCAGCAGCACCCAGGGCAGGATGGCGGCCACCACGGCCACCACAGCGATGAGCGTGATGAGCAGCAGGGCCCGCGATCGGCAGCAGAAGGCGCGGGCGGAGCGGGGCGCCAGGGAGGCCTCCGAGAGCTCTGCCAGGCTGCGGCGGGGCAGCACGCTGTCCTGCTCCCCCAGGGGCATCCCGTGGCGGCTGATGACAAAGATCTGTGACTCCCGGGGCAGGCTGGGCAGCAGGTCCAGGGGGAGCTGGGCGCTCTGGCCCGGGCTGCCTGGCGGCCTGGCCTGGCCTGGAGGTGGCCTCCAGGCAGGGGAGGAGGCGGCCAGGGGGTTTGTGTGGCCCAGGCTGTCCAGTGGGGGCACGGAGGGCAGGCCCACGGGCACAGCCAGCGTCTGGGAGCTCTTGTCCAGCATGGAGGGCCAGCGGGAGCTCTTCTTGCTGAGGAATGTGACGTAGCGGCAGATGGGGCAGACCAGGGTCCTCTGGACCTGCCCATCCACGCGGGTGGACAGCAGGTACTTGACCAGGCAGTCATGGCAGAACACATGGCCACAGCTCAGCGTCCGGCTGGCGCCCTCCAGGTCCCGGAACTTCTCATAGCACACGGGGCACTCACTGCCCGAGCTGTCCTTGCTCTCCCCTTCTGACATGGCCACTGGGAGATGGCACGCTCAGCTGTGGACGGGAAGGGTTGTGAATATTGGGGCATTTCCTCTTTCCCTCCCCCGTCCTAACTCCCACCTACACCTCTGCCTCCACTGCCCCTTATCCCCTCTCCCTGTCTTCTGCCTCCTCTCTCTTCCTCCTACTCTTGGCTCTTCTGCTGCTCCTCCTCTATGGCCCACCTGACTCAAACCTAGAACCCAGACCCTTAGGAGGAGAGGAGCAGATGCTTCTGGAAGGGAGAATCGGGAGACAGAGAACCAGAGAACCCAGTCACACTGGACCCCAGGAGGAGGTGTGTGGAGTTCCTGATGTCTCACCTCAATCATCATGTACACACATGGTGAGGTCACTGCCTCACCTCTTCCTGCTTCAGTGACGGAAGTGAAGAAAGGAAGTCCCTGTTACCAGGGGAAGCAGGTGGCTAAGAAGATGCATGCACAGCCCCAGTCCAGTCTCCAATTTGGACCTGCACCCAGAGTGGCCATTTTCCAGAAAAGCCCGTGCTAGTCTCAACCTCTGCCCTCACCTGGGGTTGGCGGGTCCATTGGATTTCCTCCAGCCATTGGATTGCATTCCTCTGTGCTAAGTGTGGCTATAAAGCAATGACTGTTTAAAAAAACAAAGCTTAGAACTTACACATTCAAATGCCTGCTGGCCCTCCACATAGTCACGTCAGGGAGCTTTAGGTTCATTCCCTCACCTGCCACAGCTCAGTCATTCTCCAAATTCTTCTTATGGGGCTGCCTGAGGCAGTGAGAGAAGCATCTGATTAACCGTGATGGAGACAGAATTTCATCCTTTGAGAATATGTCTGATACTTTGGAAATGCCCAGAAGTCACTGGTAGCCAAGTCTGATAGGAAAGTAAATGAGTGATCAAGTGGCATGATATTGTTTGAAATCAAAGCTATGGAGTAGCAAGATATAAAGTAACAAGATATATAAAGTAACAAGATGGTTTGTTTTTTTTTTTTTTTTTGAGAGGGAGTTTTGCTCTGTCGCCCAGTCAGGAGTGCAGTGGCGCAACCTCAGCTCACTGCAACTTCCACCTCCTGGGTTCAAGAGATTCTCCTGTCTCAGCCTCCCAAATAGCTGGCATTACAGGTGCATGCCACCACCCATGGCTAATTTTTGTAATTTTAGTAGAGACAGAGTTTCACCATGTTGGCCAGGCTGGTCTTGAACTCCTGACCTCCGGTGATCCGCCCGCCTCGGCTGGCCTCCCAAAGTGCTGGGATTACAGACGCAAGCCAAGGCGCTGGCCACAAGATGGGTTTTAAACAGAATCTGAGAGCAGATTTGTTTGATTAACTACATGGCTTCCCAAGTCGATGGCTTTGAAGGGAAACATCCACTGGGGTGTGTGGTGAGGTCCAAGTGTCCGCACTGAAAAGTTCCCAGTGTCACAACTGTGTAGCCTAAACTTATCTGGAACAGCTTCTTTAAAAAGAACCATGATTCCTTGTTATTGCTGCTTTCTTCCATCCATGACAGAGACAAAAGACCCCTGGACACACTGATAAAATAGAGTTGCATGGCAGCCCCCAGACCTGAGAGATGACATAGTGGGAACAAAATCAATGTGTAGGAAGGACAACTGTTAAGATCACAAATCTTTCAGAATCCCTCCCTCTCTTGGCTTGGCTCCAAATCTATTTTGCCGAGTTGAAAATGTCCCATAGTCAAAGAGCAAAAATATTTGGAGGTGGGATAAGGAATCTGGGATCCTGGAGGAGGCCCCCAAACCTCTTTGGGAGTTTCTAGCTTTGGTCTTTGAGATGGTCAATGTGGCCCCCAGGATGGGGGATGGGGGTTCAAATCTTTGATCTACCCATTACTGTCTGTATAAGCTTAGCCAAGTTGTTTAACCTCTCTGAGTCTCAGTTTCCTGTCCATAAGATGAAATTGATAATAATGGTATCATCTTCCTCGGAGAGTTGTTGGGGGAATTAAGTGAGCTAATGTGAGTGAAGAGTCTGGCTCAGAGTAAGTGCTCAGTAAATGGCAGTTGTCATTATTAAGACAGACCATGTCCTGTCCCCTCTTCTCCCAAAGGGGACTTGGAGACCCCTGTCACAGCTCTTGAGGCAGCCACAGCATTTGCCTTCCTTTCCTTCCCTCTCATCCCCAAATGTTCCTTAGTATGTGGATGATTAAAAAATCGCACCCACTTGACAGAGGGCAGCTCACCTCAAATTAGAATAACGGAACAAGATGACAATGGATAAGATAAGTGATGGGCAATGGATAATAATTTAAATGGTTATTCCAATCTTTCTTGGTAGTTATTTCATAACACATTTGCAAATGTTTATACCAAACAGCCATTATAATCAGGATGGGCATGATTTTCTTAAGCCAATCAACTATTAATATGTTTCCCTGCATTTCATAACTCCCCAGAGTGTATGATGGCAAGAGTTCCATCCTTCTATCCATCCATCCATCTGTCTAATTATTCGACACATATTTATTGAGCACCTGCTATGTGCTAGGTACTGACTTACATATTGGGGATAAGTAGTGGCCAAGGAAGTTCTTATAAAACTTTAGAGCCTAGTGGACATTTATAAGTTTTCTTGAAAAAGATATTTTTTTGAAAGGAGTATTGATGATCAATGGTTTAAGTTGTTTGGATAACTGAGAAGTAGAGACCAAGGCTGACAAGAAGAGCAAATAAGGAATACTAGAGGGAAAAAGGACTTTAGAGATCACTTAGTTGAAGCTCCTAGTTTCAGAGATGAGCAGATCCATGTCTAGAGAGAGGGAAGTGAGTCACCTGAGGTGACCGGTGAAGGTGACGGAGAGGGAGTTAACCGAGACAGAGAAGATTCCGTAGATGGTAGAACATTGTTAGAATCAGCTGATAGATTGGGTGAGTAGGTATTAGCCAAGTTAGAAAGCACCGTCCTCCTTGAGACGAGCAGGGAAGGAGAAGGAGAGCCTCTACTTTTCATCCGAGTTAGAGGAAAAGTAAAAAGGACCCAGGGAGTGCAGAAGACATCCGAGGCCCCAATGATGGCCTCTCTGGGCAATCCTTCTCCCTTCCAACAATGGCCTCTCTGGGCAATCCTTCCCTCTTACAACGATGGCCTCTCCGGACAATCCTTCCCCCTTCCAATGATGGCCTCTCTGGACAGTCCTTCCCGCTTCCAACGATGGCCTCTCTGGGCAATCCTTCCCCCGTCCCGTGCTTCCGGAGAGCCACGCCGTCAACACCTGGACGATGCTACCTCCTTCCCCACCTTCTTGCCTCCCTTTCTCAGTCTTTCCCTGACCCCTCCCTCTGCCTCTCTCGCTTTCTGAATCCCATTCCATTCCCCATCCTTGAGTTCCTCTTATGGTATGATTCTGTTTGGATGCTGGGGTGAGGGAGAGGGCAACAGAAGAAATGCAAGGAACATACTCTAGTTTGAGCACAAACGAGTTGAAGAAGAATGCAGTAAGTGCCAAAGCATCCCTGTTGGTGCCTTAGGAAACTGAGGGGAGAGGAGGGCTGGAAAGTATTCCTAGGTGAAGTGGGACCAGTATTGAGCTAATAATAAATAATTATTATTATTTACAACAGCGACCATTTATTGAATCCTAATTATATGCTTGGCATTTTGCATCCCTTCCTCTTCTGATCCTGACAACAAGGCTGGGGCGTAGGGATTATCTTCATTTTACAGATAAGGGACCTGAGGCTCAGAGCTTAAGACTTTGTCTTCAGACTTTGGTCAAAGGAATAGAAGAAATAGCACTGTTAGAAAAGTGACTACCCAAAGTTCCTTCCTCTTTAGGTTTAGAGTGACCCTAAACAAGGATGCCCCTCTGGCCACCTGGGAGGCAGGGGGAAGGCAATGGCTGGCCCAAGGGAGCTGACCTTGGGAAGCCCCAGTACTGAGCCTCCCCCACAGCAGTAGCCCATCTCCGGAACAGAGTGTGGGGGCAGGTGTCCCCACCCCAGAGAAAACACCCCCCATCCCCACCTCAGCACAGGAGCCAGTGGGACAGAATGATACTTCCAGGCACCTGGGATTCCCTCCTGGAGCCCCAGTGCAAGGTCCTATAGCTTTAGCTGTGACTAGTTGCTCACCCACAGGTATCTCTTTCTCTCTCTCTCTCAATTTCTCTCTCTCTCATTCTCCTGCATCCTTCCAATGTTGGCAACCTTCCAACATTGCCAAGCTCCTTCCCCACGCCCATCCAGGCCCCTAGACTCACTTTAGCTGGGACCGGAGAGAGCAGCATCCACCTTCCCTCCTGGGGCCTCCAGCAGATCTGAGCCACCCCGAGGTGCTGAGCAGCAGCACGATCTCCTCCTGTTGCTGTTAGTGTGACCGCCACCGCCGAGGCAATTCCTAATGACAGAGCAGGTCGGGAGGACAGCGCGAGGAAGTGAATGTCGCCCAACCCGTTTGAGGCCAGGAGGCTTTGGCGTTGCCCAGGGGGTTGGCAGCTGCTGGAGTCAGGTGATCTTGCTGAGGATGCCAGGAGAGGAACCCCCAGCTTGAGGAGGAGCCCAGGGGTGGGTGCTCAGGAGAGTCAGAGGGTCTCACAGTGGAGGCAGTGACCCAGGACCCCTTTGACTGAGGCTCCCCAGGCATGGGTCTCCCTATCAATAGGAAAGTCACCCACACTGTCCTTCCCACCCTCCTGGACCCATTTCTGTGATCCCCATCTTCCCCCCACACCCCTATCCTCACACCATGCACAGGGTGAAGGGGTCAGTAGTAGATCAGCCTCGGGAAGTCTATGACACTCAGAGTCATATATTTGTGGGATCTGCCTGTGTGCATTTGTCATTCATGGAACACCCAAAGGCGCTTAGAACTCCAAAGACCCAGCACCACTGGCATAAAGAACGAGGCGAGTAAGACCAGTGAAGCAGGAATGCACACAGATATGGAAAGAAGTCCCCGGCATCATGATAAATGGAAGCAACTTTCAGAACAGCCTGTGTAATACAATTCTATTTATGAAGATAATAATACATGATCATATTCATAGAGGAAAAGCTGGAAGAAAACACATCAGACTGTTAATAGCAGTTATCTCTGGAGAGACTTTCTAAGTTTTATATTTCTGTGATGTTTGCATTTTCACCCTGAATGTATGTTTCTTTTGTGATTAGAGAAAAAGTCATCCACTGGGTATGGTGGCTCATGCCTGTAATCTCAGCACTTTGGGAGGTTGAGGCGGGCAGACTGCTTGAGGCCAGGAGTTCGAGACCAGCCTTGCCAACATGGTGAAACCCTGTTGCTACTAAAAATACAAAAATTAGCTGGGCAAGGTGGTGCAAGCCTGTAGTCTCAGCTACTCGGGAGGCTGAGGCACAAGAATTGCTTGAATCCAGAAGGTGGAGGTTGCAGTGAGTGAGCCAAGATTGCACCACTGCACTCCAGCCTGGATGACAGAGTGAGACTGTCTCAAAGAAAAAGAAAAAGTCATCAAGAATAATGGAGGAATGAAGTTCGGGGAACTGGAAATCATTTTGGAGGATTCCCTCCCAGTCCTCTCAGGAGGTCCCCAAGAAACCAGTTTTCTTCTGAAAAAGTAAGTTACTGGGTCCAAGGCACAGCCCAGCATGTGTGTGACCCCATAGGATGACACAGGATGACCCCTCTTCTGTCCGATCAGTCATGGCCCTGGCTTAATGGACACCTTGAAGCTGGTGGGGAGGACAGTCAGGCCAGTGCACTCGGCCACTTCACCATGGACAGAGATCCGTGAGTGCAAGCCGTCGTCACAGTCTCTCTTGTTCTTTCCCTGGGAGTTCCAGGTGGTCCTAGATTAGCAAATGAAAATGCAGTATGCCCAGGTAAATTAGAATTTCAGACAAACAACGAATGCTTTTTGGTATAAATATGTCCAGTACAATACAGTACAATATCTGGGATTTTTTTTTTTCTGAGACAGAGTCTCGATCTGTCACCCAGGCTGGAGTGCAGTGGCCACAAGCTCGGCTCACTGCAACCTCCACTTCCTGGGTTCAAGCGATTCTCCTGCCTCAGCCTCTCAAGTAGCTGGGGTTATAGGTGTGCACCACCACACCCCAGTAATTTTTTTGTATTTTTAGTAGAGATGGGGTTTCGCCATGTTGGCAAGGCTGGTTTTGAACTCCTGACTTTAGGTGATCTGCCCACCTTGGCCTCCCAAAGTGCTGGGATTACAGGCGTGAGCCACTGTGGCGGCCCTCTGGGACATATTTATACTAAAGAGTATTCCTTTTCTATCTGAGACTCAAATTTAAGTGGGCATTCTGTATTTTCATCCAGCAAGTCTAATCCCAGAGGGCTCTCCAAATTTCTCTCCTTCCACTGGCATCTCCAAGGGGCGCATTGCAAAGTTCTAAGCCCCTTCAACAATGTGGCTCATGACTCTGCCTAGGGCTTTCTGGGGATTCCTGAAAAGGTGCCCCAAATACCTCAGTATCAAGCCCTTGTGTGTCCCCCAGAGAGGAGACGGAGCCAGGCCCGGCCATCCTTAGACTTTTGTGATGTGATTTATGGGGTGATATAAAGTTCCTAAGGCACCAATATCTTTTCCACTGGCCCTGTCATGAAGCTTGACTATGAAAATTACCTTTAATATGTAAATATTTATTATCATTGTCTGTCTTGGTTTGTGTTCTAAAAAAAGAATTCTGGCCTGGCACAGTGGCTCAAGCCTGTAATCCCAGCACTTTGGGAGGCTGAGGCAGGTGGATAATGAAGTCAGGAGATCAAGACCATCCTGGCTAACACGGTGAAACCCCATCTCTACTAAAAATAGAAAAAATTAGCCGAGCACGGTGGCATGTGCCTGTAGTCCCAGCTACTCGGGAGACTGAGGCAGGAGAATCGCTTGAACTCGGGAGGTGGAGGTTGCAGTGAGCTGAGATGGCGCCACTGCACTCCAGCCTCGGCGACAGAGTAAAACTCTGTCTCAAAAAAAAAAAAAAAAAAAAAAAAAAGAAAAGAAAAAGAAAAAGAATTCCACTTAAAAAATTGTGTATACTTATATATGTTGGCACGGACACACACATTTACCTGAGGAGGTAAATGCATCAGCCAGAGACACTTTAACTTGAATTTATTTTTCAGGTCAGCTCTAGCCATCTAGCAAGTTTCTGGGAAAGTGGACTGTTGGATTTTGGCAGGAAGAAGGAATTAGTTATCAGCAAAGGTTGAGAGCACAAGTATACTAGCCAGGAGGAACTACACTATAGGACTTGATGGTAGGGAGCTCTGGGAAATTAGACCAGTGCATGAGCATTCACGAGTGCTCTATGTGTGTTTATGTGTGTTGGTGACTAAAGAGAAAATGCCATGTGCCTTTGGGTAGGTTACTTAATCCTTCCGTGCCTCAGTTGCTTCATCTGTAGAAACTGCGCCTCAGTTGCTTCATCTGTAGAAAATGGGGATAATAGTACCTACTCTATAGGGTTGTTGTGACAATAAAATGAATGAATGCAAGTAATGTGCCTGGAACAACACCTGCTACACAGGAGGGGCTCTGTCAGTGTTTTCTATCTATATGTCTGTCTATCTGTCTATCAGTCAATCAATTCATCTGTCTATCTGGTTTCTCCATTGATCCACCTATCTCAATTGATCTATGTATCTATTGATCTATCTAATCTCTCTCTCTCTATCCTCTCCATCTATCCATCAATCAACCTATCCATTGATCCATCCGTCCATCTGTCCATCTATCCATCTCTCTATCTAATCTCTATCTCTCCATTGATCCATCCATGTAATCTCTCCATCAATCAATCATCTATCTTTCAATCAATCTATCTCTCCATTGATCTATCTACCTAATCTCTCCACTGATCCATCTCTGTGTATCTATGTATCTACCTATCTATCTCTCCATTAGTCTATCAATTAATCCATCCATCCATCCATCCATCCATCCATCCATCCATCCATCTATCCATCTAATCTCTCTCTCCAATCTCTCCATAGATCTATCTATCTATCTATCTATCTATCTATCTATCTATCTATCTATCATCTATCCAATCTCTTCGTCTATCTAATATATATATAAATATATTTCTTCATTTATCTCTCTGTATCGATTATCATCGAAATCATCCTTATTATTATTATGGCAAGAAGAGAAGGCTAAAGGTGGGTAAGGAGATGCAAACACTTTCTGACTCAAGGGTCCTGGGCAATCTTGTCCTGATTTAGTGAATAAGGTGTCTGTTGCAAATACTGCCATGTCATTTTGGAGTGTTCTCCCCTTCTCAGCAGAAAGGACAAATGCACGCTGAACCATGGAAGAATGGTTCCAGCTCAGGGACGGACGAGACCAGGGGTCCCTTCCCTGGGCAGGTCATGCTGTAGAGTTTTGTCTAGTTCTGGGGCCACATTGGAAGTGGTGTTGATGAGGCACCAAAGCGTGTCCTGGGGAAGAGCTTGGCCAGGATGGAGAAGAGTCTGGAGACCATTTTGGCCCAGTGACATAAGATCTTCCTTAGAGAGACATTTTTGTGAGGCTAAGGGGCTTTTAGACAAGGGAAGAATCCCACCCCCGCTGACCACTGACTAACTGCAGGTGTGGTTTCTGCAAGGGGTGAGTAGCTGGACCAGGACAGAAGTTCCTAATGCCAGAATCACCTGGAGAACAGATTACAGAAACTGATTTCCAGGCCCCACTCATGACTTGCCGGTCTTGGGAGAGGCCCAAGAAAGTACACTGTACTTATTTTTAATAATTGGATAGATGGATGGATAGATATATGATAATGTAAGAATAGTGCATGCTAATGGTGGAATCTAGGTGGTGGATGTATGGATTCTTGTAAAATTCTTTCATCTTTGCTCTATGTTTGGAAATTTTCATAACACATGTTGGAAAAACAAAGTGCCTTCTTGAATAAGTAATATATTCAGATGATTCAAAAGTTAGAAAGTGGCCAGGTGCGGTGGCTGATGCCTGTAATCCCAGCACTTTGGGAGGCCGAGGTGGGTGGATCACCTGAGGTCAGGAGTTCGAGACCACCCTGGCCAAAATGGTGAAACCCCGTCTCTACTAAAAATTCAAAAAATTAGCTAGGTGCCTGTAATCCCGGCTACTTGGGAGGCTGAGGCAGGAGAATTGCATGAACCCGGGAGGCAGAGGTTGCAGTGAGCCCAGATGACACCACTGCACTCCAGCCTGGGCAACGGAGCAAGATTTGTCTCAAAAAAAAAAAAAAAAGTGAGAAAGTGTTAAATGACCTGCAGTGAATATTAATCTCCCTCCCTGTCCCTCATCTGCCCATTTCCTGTGCATCCCTTCAGAAGGTAACGATCCCTTCAAAAGGATAAACAAAAACAAGACCAAAACAAAAACAAAAACAAAAAACAAAAAACAAAACAAAACAAGAAAACCACACCAGAAAATAACAGGAGTTGGTGAGGATATGAAGAAATGGGAACCCTTCTACCCTGCTGGTGGGAATGTAAAATACTGTACCTTCTTTGGAAAACAGTACGGTGGTTCAAAAACTTAAATATAGAATTACTGTATGATCCATCAATTCCGCTTCTGGATATATACCCCAAATAATTTAAGCACGGACTCAAGTAGATCTTTGTATACCCATGTTCATAGCAGTGTTAGTCACAATAGCTAAAAGGTGGAATCAACCCAAATGTCCATCAACACATAAGTGGATAAACACAATGTGATCCATCCACACAACGGAATATTTATTCAGCCTTAAAAGGAAGGAAATTTTACCACCTGCTACAACATGGATGAACCTTGAGGACGTTAAGTGAAATAAGCCAGATACAAAAGGACAAATACTGTATGATTGATTTCACTTATATGAGGTTCCTAGAGCAGTCAAAATCGTAGAGACAGAATGTGGAATGGTGGTTTCCAGGGGCCGGTTGGGGGATGAGGGGACAATGGGGAGTGAGTGTTTAACAGGGACAGAGTTTCCGTTTGGGAAGATGAGCGCTCTGGATGGATGGTGGTGATGGTTGCTCACAATATGAGCGTACTTAATACTGTGGAACTGTACACTTAAAATGGTTAAGATGGGCCAGGTGTGGTGACTCACGCCTGTAATCCCAGCACTTTGGGAGGCCAAGGTGGGTGGATCATTTGAGGTCAGGAGTTCAAGACCAGTCTGGCCAACATGGTGAAACCCGATGTCTACTAAAAATACAAAAATTAGCCGGGTATGGCAGTGCGCATCTGTAATCCTAGCTACCTGGGGGGCTGAGGCGGGAGAATTGCTTGAACCTGGGAGGCAGAGGTTGCAGTGAGCTGAGATCACACCTCTGCACTCCAGTCTGGGCGACAGAGCAAGATTCGTCTCAAAAAAAAAAAAAAAAAAAAGGTTAAGATGGTAAATTTTGTTATATGTATTTTACCACAATAAAAAAGGTAACTGCTGTTATTAGCAGTTAGTTTTGTGCATATTATTTATATTTATATGTACACAAACAAATACAAATAGGGATTTGTATTCCCTGTTTTTTTTTTTCCTTTGAGAGATAGGGTCTCACTCTGTCGCCCAGGCTGGAGTGCAGTGTTACAATCGCAGCTCACTGCAATCTCGACTTTCCATGCTCAAGTGATCCTCCCACCTCAGCCTCCTGAGTAGCTGGGACCACAGGCACGCCACCACACCTGGATAATTTTTTAATTTTCTGTAGATACAAGGTGTCGTTGTGTTGCCCAGGCTGGTCTTGACCTCCTGGGCTCAAGAAATCCTCCCGCCTCAGCCTCCCAAAATACTATGATTATAGACATGAGTCAATATGCCCCTCCTTCCCCCCGTGTTTTTTTTTTTTTTTTGTTGTTGTTGTTTTGTTTTTGAGATGAAGTCTCATTCTGTTGCCCAGGCTGGAGTGCAGTGGCGTGGTCCCAGCTCACCGCAACCTCTGCCTCCCGGGTTCAAGCAATTCTCCTGCCTCAGCTTCCCAAGTAGCTGGGATTACAGGTGCCCGCCATCACGCCTGGCTCATTTTTGTAGTTTTAGTAGAGACAGGGTTTCACCAGGTTGGTCAGGCTGGTCTCGAACTCCTGACCTTAAGTGACCCACCTGCCTTGGCCTCCCAAAGTGCTGGGATTACAGGATTACAGGTGGCTGTTAGCCACCGTACCCAGCCCTTCCCCGTTTTTAATCTAAAGGTGTGCACCACACGCATGCTGGTGCATCTTGCTTGTTTTACTGGACAGCACAGCTTGGAGCTTTCTCCCTTAGGTGCATATACAGTTGTTGAATCTGAGTTTTCAGTAGCTTCCCCAGGTGATGTTAAGGAGCAGCCTGTGTGGGAACCTCTGCCCCCAGAGATCACTGGGGTCCTGGGTAGCTTGGAGAGGTATTCCTTCCTCCAGGCTAGGGGAGGAGGACTGGAAGTTGAGGTGGCTCAGCTCAGATGGAGGCCCAAAGGGCCCCCAGGAGCCTCTAGAGTAACCTGCTCTCTGTCCCCACCATCTTCACTGTCCCCAGCTTTCCCTGCACAGCATCTCCAGGGAAGTGGGATCCATGAAGCTCCTGACTTTCCTGCTCCCCCGGAGGGACACTGGGTGTCCAGGCGCAGGGGCATTCCGCAGCTCTCTGCACTACCTTCCTGCCACTCCCTGTGGGGACAGAGTGGATACAGCAGGCAGGGGCAACCCTGATGGGATGGGGTCACTCATGCCATTTGGAACCTTATGCCAGGGCTGACATTTTAATAAGAGTAAGTGTGAGTCACCCTGAATATCTAAGGCAGAGGGGTTGGAGGCTGGGGAGCAAACATGGGGCCAGGAACTGCAGGCCCGACCCAGAAGCAGTGGAGAGAAGAGAGGTGGGGAAGGGGATGGGATAGAGTGAGAATGCGAGTTTACAGTTAAGGCCAACCTTTGGCAGGGCAGAGACTCTTGGTCTGTTTACATCACTGCCGTCCATGAAAAGACACCTGGCAATGATCTTTGCCATGCTGTTGTGGGCAGGCCTAGATTACCGACCAGGGCCCGGATAGGGGACACTGAAGGTTGTGTGCTGTTTGAAGACAGCCCTGTTGCCCTGAGTGCACATAGTTGGCCAGGTGGGGCCAGCTCCAGTCCTGGCTCCAGATGAGGATGGGCTCATGCAAGGGAGGCAGGGCGAGGCAAGCTGGCTGCCCTACGTGTGCTCAGCATGAAGACAGTGAGGCGGTGCACAAGGGCAGGAGGTGGGGGCACCTCCCAGCCATGAGTGTGTGTGTGCACATGACCCTTGACCCTCCTCCCACCGCGCCTCCACTTCTCAGCATCCTGCTTGATCTGGTGACTGTGGGCAGATGGGAAGGCCTCACCAGAGAGGGCAAAGGACCCCACAAGTATGGAGTAAAGTATGGCCGTGTCCCTAGGGAAGCCTACACAGAGGCCAGGGGACGAGATCTGCTGCTTCAGTGGCCCCACAGGATGCCGCTGGGGCGTCCCGGGTGAGGCTGCAGTCTCCACAGTGAGACCAGGGGATTACCCTGGGTTGGTGCAGCCCTGAGGGTCTCCCCACCCATTTGCAGCTGTCGGCTCTGGCCTGGCTTGCTCCAGCCAGCTCAAGTGTTTGCTTTGCCCCAAGCTTCCCTGTTGTTTCACCCTCCTGGGCTCTGCCCCATTATTACATAGCCCAGGACTGCTGGTAGAACCGGGGACACCTTGGACCTCTGAACAGAACACATAGAGGCGCCTCCCTCTAGGAAGTTAATTGGAAAAAGGCCCTCTTTCTTCTCTGGCTGTGTCAGGGCACATGGCTTGGCAGGCAGAATAGGAACTGATTTTCGTTCCCAATTCACCTGCTTTGGTTCCCAAGCTCCCCAGCCCAACAATATGCAGTGGCCACAGGTCTCACCCCATCCCATCCCCTCCCTCTGAAGACTTCCTCGGCTCCCCATTGCCCTGAGGCACAGCCCATACTCAGGGAGCCCATGAAGCCCTCACTGCTCTCTGGAGACTTGCTCCAGCCAGCCCCTCTGCTGGGCTATCTTTTGCTACACAGCATGGCCACAGCTCTGGCTTCCAGCTCAGGTCCCTTGAAGGCCCTGGGCTTGTGGGCCTCTGTGATCTTTTTTTCATGCTTTTTTTTGGGGGTTGTTTCCTGGCTGGAATGCCTTTCTACCTCATTACATCTCTCCTGGCATCTCCTCTACATCTTTTTTTTTTTTTTTTTTGAAACAGGTTTTCGCTCTGTTGCCCAGGCTGGAGTGCAGTGGCACCATCTCAGCTCACTGCAACCTCCACCTTCTGGGTTCAAGCAATTCTCCCTGCTTTAGCCTCCCGAGTGGCTGGGATTATAGGCATGCGCCACCACACCTGGCTAATTTTTGTGTTTTTAGTAGAGACAGGGTTTCATCATGTTGGCCAGGCTGGTCTCGAACTCCTGACCTCAAGTGATCTGCCTGCCTCGGCCTCCCAAAGTGCTCAGCATGAGGCTGGGATTATAGGCATGTGCCACCACGCCTGGCTAATTTTTATGTTTTTAGTGTGTGTGTACATGACCCTTGACCCTCCTCCCGCCGCAGATGTGCGCCACCGCCCTTGGCCTTCCTCTATATCTTTTAATACCTCGATGAAGGGAGATCCTATTTCACACATCTCTGTAGGCTCTGGCACAAAGACCCAGTATTATTAGAGCCCAATAAATGTTTAAGTAAAAAAAAGCTGCCTTCTCAAGCCTAACTCATGTGTGTTGGGCCAGTAGTGAGGTGAAGGGGGTGTTTGAGCAACACAGTCATTCTACTTTCCATTCTTTTTTTTGTTTTTTTGAGACAGAGTCTCACTCTGTCACCCAGGCTGGGGTGCAGTGCAGTGGCGCAATCTCGGCGCACTGCAACCTCCGCCCCCGAAGTTCAAGCAATTCTCCTGCCTCAGCCTCCCAAGTAGCTGGGATTACAGGCACCTGCCACCACGGCCAGCTAATACTTTTGTATTTTTTGGTAGAGATGGAGTTTTACCATGTTGGCTAGACTGGTCTCGAACTCCTGACCTCAAGTGATCTGCCCGCCTCAGCCTCCCACAGTGCTGGGATTACAGGCATGAGCCGCGGCACCCAGCAAAAACATCCATTTCTTAAAAATATCTTAAACATGGCCTGGCCTGGCACCGTGGCTCACACTCGTAATCCTGGCTCTTTGGGAGGCGGAGGTGAGTGGATCGCTTGAGCTCAGGAGTTAGAGACCAGCCTGGGCACCATAGTGAAACACCATCTCTACTAAAATACAAAAATTAGCCAGGTGTGGTGGAGCGGATCTGTAATCCCGGATACTCGGGAGGCTGAGCCATGAGAATTTCTTTTGAACCTGGGAGGCAGAGGTTGCAGAGATCGCGCCACTGCAGTCCAGCCTGGGAAAAAATACGAAACAAAACACAACCCTTAAACATAAGCATTCATACCTTTAACAGCCTCAAATATAAGTGTCTGTACCTTAAAAATATAATTAGGGGCCGGGCACGGTAGCTCACGCCTGTAATCCCAGCACTTTGGGAGGCCGAGGTGGGTGGATCACGAGGTCAGGAAATTGAGACCATCCTGGCCAACATGGTGAAACCCCGTCTCTACTAAAATACAAAAAATTAGCCGGGCGTGGTGGTGCGTGCCTGTAGTCCCAGCTACTCGGGAGGCTGAGGCAGGAGAATCTCTTGAACCTGGGAGGTGGAGGTTGCAGTGAGCGGAGATTGAGCCACTGCACTCCAGCCTGGCGACACAGCAAGACTCTGTCTCAATTAATTCATGAAACGGTACAAACTTTAATTAATTAATGCAAACTTCTAAGTATAAAAAGGTTCACTTGTGTACCATCTGAAGTGCCACTCATGCGGACTCTGGCACGAGTGGGTGAGAGCTGGCGCCCACGCAGGGGACAGAAACTTGGGATCCCAGAGCTAGAAACAGGCGACTCTAGAACTTTCCGTGGCTGAGCCCAAGGCCCGGGTGAAATGCTTGACCCGAGAGCCCTTTCGATGGGAAACCACTGAAGTGGATCAAACAAAAGAATTCAGAGAAAAGTAGCTTGGACTCTTTCAACAGGATGAAACTAGCAAGGAAGGACGGTGACCCGAGGGTGCGGGCTGGGGAGGAAGTGGAGACAGCAGGGCGGGACACCAGGTGAGCAGAAAGGGGCTGAGTCATGGCCCAAGCTTGTGCCAGCCGGGGCAGCGCGGGGCTGCACTCCTGGCACCCACCTCACGGATTCCCTCTCACTGTTGTCAAGTGACCCACTCCCGGGGCAGAGATGCTTCAGGACAGGCGGGGGAGGGAAGCCACCAAGACAGTGGAGAGGTTTGTTCTCAGGGACACGGCAGCATTTGGAGAAACAGTGCTTGACGTGAGCTGGCCGCCTTGGAGGATTTTCTGAGTTGGCAGTGTTCATCCCAGGGCTTAAATCCTCCCGGACAGCTAGGAGGCCTCAATTCTTGAGACAGGTAAGGCCCGGGTCAGGGACAGAGTTCAGAGTAAGAACAATCTTATTTTCGGATGATAAAAATAGCACTACTATTGAAAAAAAATGTGGAAAATTTTAACACACACATAAACACACACGCACACACACACACACACACACACACACACACAATACAAGCTGTACACCACTTCTACAGAAAACTACCATTAATATTTTGGTGTTTATTCCAGCGTGCATATATATATATAGCCATATAATATATAATTATGTTAAAATGTATAGTTGTATTTATACATATGATATATAATTATTTTTAAGATAAATGAGGTCACATTGTATGAATGCTTTTGGGACCTTTTTTTTTTTTTCAATTGTTAACTTTTAATCCCAATAAACATTCTTTTAGATCCTCTTTTTAAATAGATGTAGTAATTTGCTTAATTAATCTCATGTTGATTCATATTTAGGTTGTTTCCAATTTTTCCCTATTATAAAAATTGTTGGCCGGGCGCAGTGGCTCATGCCTGTAATCCCAGCACTTTGGGAGGCCGAGGTGGGCGGATCACCTGAAGTCAGGAGTTCGAAACCAGCCTTGACCATCATGGTGAAACCCTGTCTCTACTAAAAATACAAAAATTACCTGGGCATCATGGCATCCACCTGTAATCCCAGCTACTAGGGAGACTGAGGCAGGAGAATCGCTTGAACCCGGGAGGTGGGGGTTGCGGTGCGCTGAGATGGCGCCATTGCACTCCAGCTTGGGCAACAAGGGTGAAACTCCATCTCAAAAAAAAAAAAAAAAAGTCTGCAGTAAGTGTTTTTACTGCAATATATTGGTGGTATTTCCTTAAAATAAATTACTAGCAATGGAATCGATAACTCAAAGGATAATATTGTTTTAAGGCCTTGTGATAAATATTGTAAATTTGCCTTTTAGGAAGGTTGTGCCTTCCTAAATGAGGTCATGAGGTCAGGAGTTCGAGACCAGCCTGACCAACATGGTGAAACCCCGTCTCTACTAAAAATACAAAAATTAGCTGGGTGTGGTGGCACGCTCCTGTAATCCCAGCTACTCAGGAGGCTGAGGCAGGAGAATCGCTTGAACCCGGGAGGTGGAGGTTGCAGTGAGCCGAGATCACGCCACTGTACTCTAGTCCGGGTGACAGAGCGAGACTCTGTCTCAAAAAAAAAAAAAGAATGTCCATGTGAATGTTGCAAACGCTTTCTTATAGGGACCAGTATTAAATCTTTGTGGTTTTACCCTGAGTCAGAACACTAAGAGCCTGGTTTATTTACTGACCACTTGCTTTGACGCTCGTGAGAAGGCTGTTCTGTTGAAGTCGTAATGCTTTGCACCCAGTAGGAGCTCAACAAATGCCTAATGAGCTGAACTCAATTGAGAAGGTCAAGGGGCTAAGCAAACATGGGGGTGCTGCATCATTGCCATTTAGAGAGTAACGAGTTATCTGAACCAGCGACAGGAATAGTGAATGGTGAGTGTTGAAGGGGCAGAAATAAAGAACCAAGGGATCCGTTACAGAAGGCTCAGACCTTGAGCTGCAGCTTTGAGAGGGAATGCCTGGAGCCGAAATGAGCGATACATACCTAATCACGGCCAGCAGGTGGCGCTCTAAAGATGTCTCGTTGCTATCCAGACTCCCAGCCAAGATCTTGCTGGAGCACCGGGAAGTGGAAACTGAGTGAGGCATGGGGAACCTCTCAGCCCTAACTTTTTGCGCTGTGCTTCCTCCGGAAGTGCAGTTCCCAAGATCAGGAGCCCTGTAGGTATTTTTGCTTTGTTTTCCTATGCTTGTTTGGCTTGTGGGTGTCTCTGTAGAGCACCATCCATTCAATTCAGTTTCGAACAGTATGGTCTCGAACTTTGATGAGCAAACCCTCACCTGCTTCTCTTGTGAAAATGCAAATTCTGATTCAGTAGAACTGGGGTGGGGCCTGAGATTCTGCATTTCTAACAAGCTCCCTGGTGATGACTCATGCCCAGTAGTTCTAAAATTTGTTAGAACATGCTGTGTAAAGTTCCATCTCTATGCAATATGGGAGGTGAGAGAGAAGCAAATCCAGGCTCTTCTCTCAAAGGGTTTACCAGAGTGAACACAATTTCACAGAAATGTCTGAAATACAAGTTAGAGTGTGAGCCCACTCACGGCATGACCTTGGGCAAGTTGCATGACTTCTTTGGGTCTCAGTTTCCTCATCTGTAAAATGGGAATAGTAATAGCCTCTACCTTAGAAAGTTACTTGAGAATTAAAGCAGGATATTGTACATAAAACACTTGCACAGTGGCTAGCACATAGTAAACCTCAACAAGGCTTGGGGCACCCTAAAGCAGTATGGAGTCAGGCAGGTTACCCTGGCAGGGTGGTAAATTGGAGGAAGCAAGTGGTGGGGGTCAATCCTTAAGAAGGCGCCATCTTGGGTTGGGTGCATTGGCTCGCGCCTGTAATCCCAGCACTTTGGGAGGCTGAGGCGGGTGGATCATGAGGTGAGGAGTTCAAGACCAGCCTGGCCAAAATGGTGAAACCCCGTCTCTACTAAAAATATATAAACTAGCCAGGTATGGTGGTGGGCGCCTGTAATCCCAGCTACTCAGGAGGCTGAGGCAGAGAATTGCTTGAAGCCGGGAGGTGGAGGTTGCAGTGGGCCAAGATCGCACCACTGCACTCCAGCTTGGGTGAAGAGGATGCCATCTCAGTTGTCAGGATATCCATCATCTGAGAAGAAGGGTGTCAGGAGGTGAGGACAGAGAGCCAGGAAGAGGTCAGGTGCCTTGATTAGCAGGTGGCAAACCCAAGAGCTGCTTTTGAGGGGGATTTAAGTGTGCTGAGGCTAAGCAGGAAGCAGCCTTCCTTCTGGAGATGGAGGTGGGCAGGATTTCCAGGCAGATCAAGCAGCGGCTTTCCACACACGCCCCTATTTCACATCTTTAGGAGCTTTAGGAACTTGCGAGAGGAGCTAAGAGGAGCCAAGTGTCACCCTGATCCTGCCTGCGTGCATGGCTTTGCCACATCCTGTAAAAGCCTCAGTCCCACTGCTATGGATTCCTCAGCCCAGGTCCCTAAGTTTACCCACATGCTTTAAATAGGGGTGATGTTTCTATGAACCTCTAAGATCCACAAATATTTATGGACTTAACCTCCAGGGCTCTGATGAGTGCCCCTGGGGATACAGAGACAAATCCACACAGCCCCTACCTTCACGGCTGACCCTGGGGAGAAAAGACATCACCCCGGGAAAAGGAAAAGAATGATTAGTGAAGGGTCTCCTAGCCCTTCTTAACAATGGTGCTTCTTCTAGATCGTAAGACTAATTGATGCATGAGACCTACAGCCACTGCAGAGGCAAGAGTGTTCAGGGGACTCTTTAGACCAGGGTGTCTGACCTAATAAAGCCATAAGGAGTGAGTCAGATCTGATAGGGCTGGAAGGGGACAACCACTAACAGCTAAAGGGACTAATTGGACTTGGGTGGAGCCAATTACGCACGTTATCTCATTTAAGCCCTACAAAATACTATGAGGTCAGTACCAGCATTGTTTCCGTTTATAGATGAGGCAAATGAGACTCAGAGAGCAAAGCAACTTGCTCAAGTTCTTTTTTTGTTGAGATGGAGTCTTGCTCTGTCGCCCAAGCTGGAGTGCAGTGGCACAATCTTGGCTCACTGCAACCTCCGCCTCCCGGGTTCAAGTGATTCTCCTGCCTCAGCCTCCCGAGTACGTGGGATTACAGGTGTGTGCCACCATGCCTGGCTAATTTTTGTATTTTTAGTAGAGACAGGATTTCACCATGTTGGCCAGGCTGTTCTTGAACTCCTGACCTTAGGTGATCCACTCGCCTCGGCCTCCCAAAGTGCTGGGATTACAGGTGTCAGCCACCGTGCCCGGTTTCAAGTTCTCACAGCTACAAGTGGCAGGTGGAGGCTATGGGACAAGTTCATTCTCTTGTGTACCATGTTATGTGCTTGGCCCTTGTGGAGAGACAAACAACACTGGCATTCACTGTCTCCCCACCTTAAGTAGTGACAGCTCTTCCCCATGCCTTTACCCTCCAAATACGGGGATGAAGGCAGGAAAGTGGAGGAGAGAACAGGACATCTGTCTGGAAGACCAGTGGCTTCCAAACTACACATGCAGGGGAGATGGGAAGGCTGAAGGCCTGGCTGAGAACTTGAATTTCTTCTTTCCTTCCCGAAGCACTGAAGTCTTGCTCAACCCCAGCTGAGTGATGAGGCGGGCAGGGTTGCCTCACTTCAGGGCAGCAGGCCCCAGCCTTCCTGGCTCTAATCCATTTCCCATCCTTGCGTATCTTTGGTCGGACGGTGATTCTCACTCTTCCTATTGACTTCTACTTTGTGTCAGCAAGTTCAGCGTGGGCCCCGTATGCTGCCGTGGATCTGATCAGCTGAGGCCTGAGACACAGGACCAGGTACATTGGGAGGAAAGAGCTGATTGGAGAAGGTCTGGGCCACATGAGGGTTTGCCTGAGAGATGCCAGAATGGGGGGCTCCTGATGTCTGAGGACCCTCTGTGCCCATGAGGCAGGCGGATTGTCAAAGGCTGAGGTCCATTTGGAAAGTTGGTTATGTCCCTGTGGCATGAGGGTTGGGTGACATAAAGAGACGGCTTTGGTGGTTTCCTGAAACCATATCATTTGCGCACATCTTCCCCCTGATATTCTGATCACCTTGATTTGGTTTCCTATTTCCTGAACTGCCCACATAGCATTTTTCTGGGTTGCAGAGGGAGTTCATAGGGTTCTGACAGGTTTATCTGGAGCCAACAGAGACAGTCAGTGAGATGCACTGAAGCCATGCTGAGCTGACCAAGTTAGGGGCTTGCGATCATGTCCTGGGACCTTGACTTCACTGCTCATGGGCCATTTGCTTCCCTCTGAACGTGTTTTCTCATCTACAAAATGTAAGACATCTCTATTTTTTTGGATGTTTGTAAACTTAAGCAGAATGATGATTGTGAAGGTGTTTTGTAAACTGTATGATTGTATTCTTCAGGGTTTGGGGTTACTTTTATTTCATTTTGTAAATGGAACTAGATGATTTTTCCTGATAATATAATATCTGATAAAAATTTAATCAGTACAGAGACATTGAAAGTGTTTGCATAATTCTATCTCTAAAGATTAATATTTTGGCATATAGACATCTAGACTTTTAAATGAATATTTTTATGTCAAATTCTACTTACTGTCTTTCAACCTTTTTTTCACTTAATAGTATCTCTTGAGTGTCATCTCTTGTTAATTCATAATTATCTACCTTGTCCTTTTTAACAGCTATGTAGTATTCCATTGTGTGGCTGTACCATGATTTATTAAACCAGTCTCCTATTGGTGGGTGTTTAGGGTGTTTCCAATTTATTTCTATAATAATAAACAGTGCCACAGTAAACATCACTGAATGTACATCTTTGCATACTATTATTTCCTTAGAATAAATCCTTAGATGTTGGATTGCTAGGTGAAAGGTTGTACATATATTTAGTTTTCATTCATTTGTCCAGATTCCCTTAAGAAATGTCGTACCATGGCCGGGCGCGGTGGCTCACGCCTGTAATCCCAGCACTTTGGGAGGCCAAGGCTGGCGGATCATGAGGTCAGGATATCGAGACCATCCTGGCTAACATGGTGAAACCCCGTCTCTACTAAAAATACAAAAAATTAGCCGGGCGTGGTGTTGGGCACCTGTAGTCCCAGCTACCCGGGAGGCTGAGGCAGGAGAATGGTGTGAACTTGGGAGGCGGAGCTGGCAGTGAGCTGAGATCGCGCCACTGCACTCTAGCCTGGACGACAGAGCGAGACTCCATCTCAAAAAAAAAAAGTGTCATACCATCTTATTTATTTATTTGAGGCCGGGTCTTGCTATGTTGCCCAGCCTGGTGTGAAACACTGGCCTCAAGAGATCCTCCCACCTCAGCCTCCTGAGTAGCTGGGATTACAGGCTTGAGCCACTGTACCTTCATTTGCTTAGTTTTTAGATACATATCACTGATTCCTCTCTAACAGACCTATAAAATTCCTGGCAATATGATCAACACATTAGATTATCTCTCAGTCTCTATTATCTATTAGATTATCTCTCAGTCTCTTTCTCTTATTCCTCAGAGACATCTGCCTGGTGCCTCATCCTACTGCTCCCTCTTGGATTGGTTTCTCCCCAGGACTGCTGAATGTTGTCATCTTAGGAGTTCCCTTTTCTCTTTCTTGTGTGAATCCTCTCTCTTTTGGATACCACCTTCCTTTCTTCCTCCCTCCCTCCCTCCCTCCCTCCTGCCTCTTCTCTCTTTCTGTCTCTCTGTCTCCCTCTCTCCCTCTCTCTTTCTCTCTTTCTTTCTTTTTTGAGATGGGATCTTGCTCTGTTGCCCAGGCTGGAGTGCAGTGGTGCGATCACAGCTTACTACAGTCTTGAATTCCCGGGCTTAAGCCATCCTCCCACCTCAGCCTGCCAAGTAGCTGGGGCCACAGGTGTCTGCCATCATACTTGGCTAATTTTTTGCATTTTTTTAGAGACGAGGTTTTGCCACTTTTTAATTTATATGTATACTTTTTTTTGCCACTTTATAGTTTTAACATTTATTTATTTATTTATTTATTTAGAGATAGGGTCTCACTCTGTTGCCCAGGCTGGAGTGCAGTGGCGCAATCACAGCTCACTGCAGCCTCGACCTCCCTGGGCTCGGGTGATTCTCTTAGCTCAGCCTCCTGAGTAGCTGGGACTACAGGCACGTGCTGCCATACTTGGCTGATTTTTGTATTTTTTGTAGAGACAGGGCTTCACCATGTTGCCTAGGCTGTTCTGGAACTCCTGGGCTCTTGCCTCGGTCTCCCAGCGCTGGGATTACAGGCGTGAGACACCTATTTTCCATTTTTAATGTGCCTTGCCCATTTTACATTTTTTATTGTGGTAAATAGATGGAGTCTCGCACTGTTGCCCAGGCTGGAGTGTGATGGCGCGATCTCAGTTCACTGCAACCTCTGTCTCCCAGGTTCAAGCGATTCTCCTGCCTCAGCCTCCTGAGTAGCCGGGATTACAGGCGCCTGCCACCATGTCCGGCTACTTTTTTGTATTTTTAGTAGAGATGGGGTTTCACCATGATGGCCAGGCTGGTCTTGAACACCTGACCTCGTGATCCACCCGTCTCCGCCTCCCAAAGTGCTGGGATTACAGGCATGAGCCACCGCGCCTGGCCCATTTTAATCATTTTTAAGCGTACAGTTCAGTGGCATTAAGTACGTTCACATTGTTGTGCTTACTGTCACCACCACCCATCTCCAGAACTTCTTCATCTTCCCAAACTGAAACTCTGTACCCATTAAGCACTGAATCCCCATTTTCCCCTCCCTCCCAGGCCCTGGCAACCATCATTCTACTTTCCGTTTCTATGAATTTCACTCTTCTAATTACCTCATATGAGGAGAATCATACAGTACTTGTCTGTTTGTATGGATCTCACATTTTCCCCTTTATTTTCTTCCCTGTTTTGGTGACATGCATCTTCCAATGACAGGAGGTAATTTTGATAGGTTTTGACTATCTGGAAACAGTCCTTCATTCTATTCTTATACTTGTTGAAGGGTCTGGCTTGATTTAGAATACTTGTTGGAAATGATTTTTTTCTCTGAATGTTAAAGGCAATGGTTCATTGTTTTCAAGCTTCTAGTTTATTGTTGAAGTCTTCTGCTATTATGATTCAGGATCCTTTGTACTTGTCCTGGTTTTATGTCTGTGGAAGTTTTTAGGAGTGTCTTGTCATCCCTAGGATTCTGAAATTTCATCTGTGGGTGTTTTTTCATCGATTGTCCTGCGTACTCAGGAGACCCTTTCAATCTGGGTGCTCATGTTATTCAATTCTGGAGGAATCTCTTGAATTATTATCTTAAAATAATTCCTTCCTCCTCATTTCCCCTGTACTTGCTTTCTGAAACTCCTATTATTTGAATATTAGACTTTGGGGTTTATCCTCTCATTTTCTTCCTTTAATCTCCTGTTTGGGTGATCTGTCTTTTGTTCTCCTGTTTTGGAAGATTTTCTCAATTTAATGGTCATGCTCTTCAAATGAATATTTTAATTTCAACCCTCATTGATTTTTAAAAAGCGCTCTTGTTCTCACTTCTTTTTTTGAAGCCCCGTGTTCTTGTTTCATGATGTAATGCTTTTGTTTATTTCTCTGAAGATATTAAACATTTTTTCCAGCTTACTTATGCTCCCTGCATTGTGTCTATTGCTGCTGAATCTCTCTCTCTTTCTTTTTTTCTTTTTTATTTCTTTCTTTTTTTCGAGACAGACTCTTGCTCTGTCTCCCAGGCTGGAGTACAACAGTGCAATCTCGGCTCATTGCAACCTCTGCCTCCCATGTCGAAGTGATTCTTGTGCCTCAGCCTCCCGAATAGCTGGGATTACAGGCATGTGCCACCATGCCTGGCTGATTTTTGTATTTTGACCTCAAGAGATCTGCCCACCTTGGCCTCCCAAAGTGCTGGGATTACAGGCATGAGCCACTGTGCGCAGCCTCTTTTTTCTTTTTCTTTTCCTGAACCTATGGATTATATTGAAGCCCTTGAATTTCTTTTATGCTATTTTGTTCTATCTTTCACATTGGAGGCTTCCTCAAATGTTTGCTGATTCCTTGTTGAATGTTCATTTTTATGTTCAAGGAACTAGAAGCCGATTGAAGGGTGTTTGGGTCTGTGTCTGTGCGTGTGTCTGTATCTGGCCCTGGTTGTTGGATCTCTGTGTATGGTGATCAAATGGGGGGACCAGTCCAAATGATTGGGAACCCCCCAGAAGAATGCTCCAATCTCCTGCCTGGAGGATACAAGCCAGGCTGCTAACATTCTAGGGGGCATCAGGGGACACGAGGGGGTCTCATCATTCTGTATGTAGCTTCAAAGACTTCCCCTCTCCCAAATCCTTCTTCCCTTTATGTAGTGACTTAACCCTGCCCTCGGATGTGTCCAGTCTCCCCAGATCTGGAGCTATTCTGGTTTAGTTCCTCCAGAAAGCAAACCTCCTTCTCCTGCTGGGGTGGGAGAGAAGTAGATGCCTTGGCTTGTTGATTGCCTGGGCTGTGAAGCCTGTGTTGAAATGCTTTGTAAACACATCATATGTTTCGACAGATCTTCCTGTTTTTAGCCCCACCCTACCTTGCTTTTCAAAGTAGCCCGCACCTCCAGTTACTGAGACTTTCTGGAGTTAGAGGCCCAGCACTGCTTGCTTCTGGTTGGCATTTAGTTTTCAGCCTTTTCTGATCTACTGCGTCAGCTGTCGCTTACTCATCCACTTTCCAGCTTCCAAAATCCTGTTGACATCCCTTGTCCACTGTTGTTTCCTTTCCTATCATCTGTCCCTGTGGGTTTATACCTTTTAAAATTTTTGTTCGATCTTTCTTTTTGGTGGGATTTCAAGAGGAAGTGAAGATACACGTGTTTAATCCATCATGGTAACTGAGATGGTTACTGCATTTTTCACTCTGTGACCAGCATGGCAGGAGACAGTGGGCTTCCTTACACTTTACTAACATTGGGTATTACCATTTGTCTTAAATTTTGCTAATCTGATAAGCAAAAAGCAAGGAGATATCTCAGTGTCATTTTAATTTATGTTTAAAAGTTATTAATGATGTAGCTGAGGGTCTTCTTAGGTGTTTATTGGCCATTTATATCTCTTCTATGAACCATCTATTTGTGTCCATTGCTCATTTTTCTACTAGGGCAGGACGACTGTTAAATTATTAATGTATGGCCAGCTCTATAAAAAAGTTTATGGCTGCTTCCTTCCTTCCTTCCTTCTTTCCTTCCTTCCTTCCTTCCCTCCCTCCCTCCTTCATCTCTCTCTCTCTTTCTCTTTTCTTTCTCTCTCTCTCTCTCTTTCCTTCCTTCCTTTGTTCTTTCCTTCCTTCCTTCCCTCCCTCCCTCCCTACCTCCCTCCTTTCTTTCTTTTCTTTTCCTTTTCTTTTCTTTCTTCCTCTCTCTCTCTCTCTTTCTCTTTCTCTCTCTTCTTTTTTATTTTTTTGACCAAGTCTCACTCTATCACCCAGGCTGGAGTGCAGTGGTGTGATCACGGTTCACTGCAGCATCAACCTCCTGGGCTCAAGTGATCCTCCCACCAGAGCCTCCCAAGTAGCTGAGACTATAAGCACACACCACCATGCCTGGCTATTTTTTTTTATTTTGTATAGACGCAGTGTCTTGCCATGTTGCCCTGGATGATTTTGAACTCCTGGCCTCAAACAATCCTCCTGCCTGGGGCTCTCAGAGTGCTGGGATTACAGGTGTGAGTCACCACACCTGGCCTGATCCCTTATTTTCTTGTATATGCAGTCTCAGAGCAGACTTCAGAAAATAGTGATTCTTAATGAATTCATCTAAAGTGTTTGACGATTTTCTTCCCTTAGATTATCAAAGTAACGTGTATTTGCTATAGAAAATTTGGAAAATACTGATAAACACAAAAAAGAAAATATGAATTACTCAGAGATAACCACCACTTATAAATATATCCAGTCTAATACATATAAATATATTCCAGTCTTTTTTTCTGAGCATATACTTATAAAAAGAAAAGTGGAGTAATTTTATTTTGTGTCATGCTCTCAACTTATGAAATCATAATTTGTTTTCATATGCATTGTTCTATGACATCATTTCCAGTGACCATACAGTATTTCTTTGCATGTATATACAATCATTTATTTAGCCAATCTCCTAAATGACACACATTTAGGTTTCTATTGGGTTAAAATTTTGATTAACAAGTTCCTCTCTTGATCACGACCCCATCTAATCCTGTTTCCACCATGTATCTGCTTAGCATTCTCTTTTTTTGGGGGAAAAAGGAAAAAGGTAAACTTTAATTCTTTTTCAGGTTACATTATTACTAATTCCAATTTAATGAATACAGACTCATAGAGATTTTCTAGCACTTTCCATGTTTGTTGCTGGGTCAGAGGGAGTGATCGGGAAGGGTCATTCTGGGACCCTCATTAGATACCTCCACAGCTTTGCATCACAGTGAAACTGACGAGGGCCAGAAGCACCCATGAAGGAGTGCAAGAAGGAATGAGGAGAATAAAGAAGCAGATCACCCGAGAAATAATAGCTTAACGGAGAGAAAAATCCAAAGACACAGACTGGTCTAAGAGCTGAAGACCTGAATTCTGTCCCTGAGTCGGCCACTAACGCAGTCTCATGTGTCCTTGGGCAGATGGCTCAACACTTCCCTGGTTTTCTTATGTGGCAGATTATTTCAAGGTTCTCTTCTACGTCTGAGGGTCTATGAATGCTGACCTTGTCATACTAGCTGTGTGACCTTGGAGACGTTGCTTAACCTCTCTAGGACTGGGTTTCCTCATCTGTAAAGTGGGAACATGAATAGCTGCTTCATAGCATTGTTGTGAATGAGTGTTTGTAAAGCACTTACGAGAGTTAAGTTCTCTGAGCCTGCTCTGGTTCAAGAGGCTGCCCCCCCAAAATAAAAAATAAAACACTTCACACAGGGCCTGTCCCATACTAAATATTCAATAAATGATAGCTATTTTTTTAAATTGCATGCTGACTGTTATGTAAGAAGAGGACAATTACATCATCCCACACTCTGTGTACAGAAAGGACTCTTGGCTTCTCAAAAGTGGTTTCAAAGTTCAATTTGCATCTGGGACAGATGCCAAAGGGCAAACTACAAAGTCACCACTGGCCACTGACCTCCATTCTCAGCTTATTCTTCCCTGGGGCCTGGACGCTGTCCAGATGTAGGTCAAGTAAACAGGCTGCTGTTTAACACAGATAAGTCAGATGTATGAATGCTGGTTGACAGGGGAAGCAAAGGGAAGCCCTTTATATAAGCCCTTGTAAGTCTCATTATATATTTTTCAAATATAAAATACCTATGAGTGTAAGAGAAGGAGAACCAAGCCTTAGATTATATGAATCATCAATGTTAGGGATGCTATTAAGGAAAAGCTGACGTACTTTGAAGTTGTCATTGATGAGCATGGAGACAGGAAGCAGAAGTTGTGGGTGTAGCTGAAGTTTTGCTCTTTGCTGGTGTGTATTCTTGGACAAATTACCCTTTTCTGTAAATTCAGTAGGCTGGACTATATTTTTATTCCCTAAGTGATGGTCTGTGTACTACTGGTGACAGGCAGATTGATGTTAAGTGGTAAGAGATGCACATTTGAAATTTCAATAGTTAGGTATTTATTTTAGGGAATGTTAGGGAAAATATGATTAACATCAATTCTATAGTTTCATAGAGATGATCATTTAGAATGAGGTTAATGGAAGATTTAAGCTAATCTTTAAATAAATGAGTACATTCCAATAAATATTCAAAGATGATATGCAGAAACAGCAAATAATGTGCAGGTGGTACAACTGGAAGATCAGAAAGGGGTAGGCAGAATAATAGGCCCCCCAAAAATGTTCACATCCTAATCCCCAGAACCTGTATGTTACCTTATATGGCAAAAGGGACTTTGCAGACATGATTAAATTAAGGCTTTTGAGATGGGGGGATTATCTGGGTCAGCTCAATGTAATCAGAAGGGTCCTTAAAAGAGGGAGGCTTATCAAAGTCAGAGAAGGCAATATGATGATGGAAGCAGCTATTGGAACAAATGCAGCCACAAGCCAAGGAGCGCTGGTGGCCTCTAGAAGCTGGAGGAGGCAAGAAACTGACTCTCTCCGAGCTTTCAGGAGGAACCAACGCTGCCCGACACCTTGATTTTAGCTCTTTAAGTATCGGTTTAGACACTACTGACCTTCAGAAGTGCAAGAAGATAAATCTATTGTTTTAAGCCACCAGGCTTGTGGTAATTATAGCAGCCACAGGAAACAAATACACCAGACCTTAGATGCCCATGAAGTGGTTCATTCTGCAAGATCAGCAATTCCTTAGGGCATAGAAAGGAACGTTGGCAAGAATAAGACTATCCTTAGTCATTACCCTCACCCTCCCAGGAGAGGGCTGACTCTGCCATCACATTCTGCAGACTGGCCAAGGAGAGGAAGGGCTCTCTGCTCCACCGGGATGGTGCTTGGCTAGATGTCAGGGTGGGTCCTGACTCACTCACTGTCAACAATGTCATCTGGTTCAACCTGCTCATTTTACAGATGAAGAAACTGAGGCCCAGAGAAGGGAAGTCACTTTAACAAAATCAGCTGGGATGGCGCTGATTTGGCCAAGGTGAATAACATGAGGCATGGCTGGGTTCTCACACCAGTGTGGGAGCCCTGAGAAAAGGTGGTGCCTGCAATGGCTGGGGGTGGAGGGTAGACCTTGCTGTCCTTTGATCCTCTGCTCTATGTCTCTGGGCCTCTTGCTTTCAAACTACTTCCTCTAATATCTTTTTATTGGGGTGTTAATAACCATCCTGTTAACACATAATCTTTAGAAAATTGTTGAAACAGCAACGTGCTTGGAGAAAGGGCTCCCCTGCCTCTCCCCTCCACCCCCACCTTTTTTTGTTGTTGTTGACGGAGTCTCGCTCTATTGCCCAGGCTGGAGTGCAGTGGTGCGATCTTGGCTCACTGCAACCTCTGCCTCCTGGGTTCAGGTGATTCTCCTGCCTCAGCCTCCCAAGCAGCTGGGATTACAGGCACCCGCCACCATGCCCAGCCCCCTGCCTCCCCTTTATCTTGTCCCCAGCACTTCAGTGAATGTCTTCTCTTCTGCCAGGCCTGCTTCCCTCTCCTGGAAGGGGCATTTCTACTGTGATTAACATGGAAACTGGGATGTTTCAGGTCTGCAATTCAGTGTTTATGAGTAAAAATCCACCTCTATAGTATAGGCACTCCTGAGTGAAGAAGTCCCGTCGCCTAATTTTCAACGGAAAATGTTTTCCATGTAAAGGCCATAAAACCACCTTGTAATTTTCTTTTTTCCTTTTCCTTTTTTTTTTGAGACGGAGTCTTGCTCTGTCACCCAGGCTGGAGTGCAATGGTGCGATCTCGGCTCACTGCAACCTCTGTCTCCCAGGTTCAAGCAATTCTCTGCCTCAGCCTCCTGAGCAGCTGGGATTACAGGCACCCACTACCACACCCGGCTAATTTTTGTATTTTTAGTAGAGACAGGGTTTCATCATGTTGGCTGGTCTTGAACTCCTGACCTCGTGATCCACCCGCCTCAGCCTCCCAAAGTGCTGGGATTACAGGCATGAGCCACTGCGCCCAGCCCTCCTTGTAATTTCGAAGCAGACATCTAGATTTGTGTTGTATCTCATAGGGATGGATGAAAACTAGTGTGAAATTTCTTCTGTGATCCCATGTACTGTTATTTTATCATATTAAGTTTTAGTTTTAAATGGTTGGGGTATTATTTTGTTCTTATTTCGAAAATGGTCACCAGACAAGTGACCCCCCCTAGAGAAGCAATCCTTAACATTCCAGATTAGTGACAGTTGACATCCCAGGTAATTCTACCACTCAAAGTCTCAGATATCATTATGTTTTCAGTTAGTAGGTGTTTAGAAGGTATGAAATTGAAAAGATTGTAGGGCAGAAACTTACACTGGAGAGCCAGTATATATGTTCAAAAGAGGGAAGTGTAGTCCGGGTGTGGTGGTTCATGCCTATCATCCCAGCACTTTGGGAGGCTGAGACGGGCAGATTGCCTGAGGCCAGGCGGTAGAGACCAGCCTGACCAACATGGCAAAACCCCATCTCTACTAAAAATACAAAAAATAGCCAGGCATGGTTGTGCATTCCTGTAATCCCACCTATTCAGGAGGCTGAGGCAGGAGAATTGCTTGAACACAGGAGGCGAAGGTTGCAGTGAGCCGAGATCAGGCCACTGCACTCCAGTCTGGGTGACAGAGCAAGACTCTGTCTCAAAAACAAACAAACAAACAAACAAAAAAGGAGGGAATTGTACATGACAACATACATAACATCAGGTTGGACTAATTAGGGAGTCATAGCAGAAGTGAATTAATTCCTAAGATCTGTGTTGCAGAATTGGGAGCCCTTCCTTTGAGGCTTTACTGACATGAGTGCTCAGGTCACTCTTGTATCTACTGGGGTTACTTGGCTGAAAGGCTGCCTTTTAAAAAAATTTTAACAGATCCTAAATCCATAGGCTTAGGAAATAGTTTACATCATTTACAAAGAATTTTGAGGAAATTACCTTGCTTTGTTAAGTTTGGATGCATCCTTATTTTTTAAACTTTAGAAAATTACACGTTTAAGACATTTTTGATAAAAATACAGAAAAGAAAAAAAGGAAGGAAGAACAGACGAGAGAGAGATTAGACTGTGATCTCACCTCATTTTGGTGTTTTTGTCCCTAGACCCTTTGTCTAACGTATAACGTATGTATGTTGTTCTACTTTACAAAGATGGGATCCCATACCGATTGTTGAGTTAATTGCTTGATTCATTTAACTGCATATTGTGGACATTTTCCTTATTAATATTCTTCTGTAACGTTGTTACCATTTGGTTACTATTATATTGTGTAGCTATTACATCATTCCACTTCATTAGTCCTTTAGTCCTTGTTGTTCCTAATTTTTTGCTAAACAATGCTTTGATGAACATCCTGTTGGACAATTTGCACACATCCTTAATACTTCCCTTTAGGTAAATTCCTAGAAGCAGAACGCTGGATCACAAAGGTTGCACCTTTGTTTTTTGTTTTGTTTTGTTGTTTTGTTTTTCTTTTGTTTTGAGACGGAGTCTTGTTCTGTCGCCCAGGCTGGAGCGCAGTGGCGCGATCTCAGCTCACAGGAAGCACCGCCTCCCGGGTTCACGCCATTCTCCTGCCTCAGCCTCCTGAGTAGCTGGGACTACGGGCACCCGCCAACATGCCTGGCTAATTTTTTTTTGTATTTTTAGTAGAGATGGGGTTTCACCGTGTTAGCCAGGATGGTCTCGATCTCCTGACCTCGTGATCCACCCGCCTTGGCCTCCCAAAGTGCTGGGATTACAGGCGTGAGCCACCGCGCCCACAGCCCTTTGTTTTTTTAATATAAAGTTTTTATTCCTTTTACATTTTTTGTAGAGACGGGCTCTCACTGTCTTGCTCAGGCTGGTCTTGAACTCCTGGGCTCAAGCGGTCCTCTTGCCTTGCTGCCACGGTGCTGGGATTATAGGCGTGAACCCCCATGCCTAGCCGAGGTTCCACGTTTCTAAGTGTTTGATACAGGCTGCTAAACTGCTTACCAAGAACTGTGACATCCTCCTTAGCCCTTTTCACGAGGGTGCTCGTTTCTCAGTGCTCTTGTATGCATTTGTAGTCTAATGTTTTAGAATCTCTTATACCTGTTGGATGAAATATAGACTCTCTTCTTTGCTATCCTACTTTGAATGTGTTTGATTAGGATCAAGGCAGGATATGATTCACATGTTTCTTAGCCACCTGCATTTAAAAATTTTGTCAATTGCTTCTTATTGCTTGTTTCTAAAGGGAAGTTCTTTATTAGAGTTCTAAACTAAAAAAGTGCTTTGAGGCCAGGCGCAGTGGCGCATGCCTGTAATCCTAGCACTTTGGGAGGCCAAGGTGGAGGATCGCTTGAGCCTAGGAGTTTGAGACCAGCCTGGGCAACGTGGTGAAACCCCATCTCTACAAAAAGTACAAAAATTAGCTGGGTGTGGTGGCACATGCCTGTGGTCCCAAGTACTTGAGAGGCTGAGGTCGGGGGATCACCTGAGCCCAGGAGGTCAAGGCTGCAGTCAACTGTGAGAGAACCACTGCACTCCAGCCTTGGTGACAGAGTGAGACCTTGTCTCAAAAAAAAAAAAAAAATCATTGAAAGCTTTTATTCATTGAATAAATGTTAACTGCCCATAACATGCCAGGCATTGGGGCCAGAGATAAATAAGTCATGGCCGCTGCCCTAGATGCTACCTTAAATGTAAAATATTAAAAAAACCTTGACTAATTTTTTCTCCTTAGCACTTGTTACTGCTGGCATACTCAGGGTTCTTTGTCTTTTTTTTTTTTCTTTTTTCTTTTTTGAGTTAAGGTCTTGCTCTGTTACCCAGGCAACCAACCCATGGTACAATCATGGCTCACTGCAGCCCCAAATCCCTGGCCTCCAGCCATCCTCCCACCTCAGGCTACAGAATAGCTAGGATTACAAATGTAAGCCACCTTGCCCAGCTAATTTTTAAATTTACGTGGAGATGGGTCTCGCCATGTTACACAGGCTGGTTTTGAATTCCTGGCCTCAAGTGATCCTCCCACCTTAGCCTCCTAAAGTGTTGGGATTACTGGAGTAAGCCCTTGAGCCCAGCCTCTCTGTCTATTTCTGTTTCCCTTCTATTTTCCTTCTTTTTGTTTTTTCATTTTTAGAAAATCTCCAGGAAGGAAAGAATTTAGCTTCTTTTGTTAATTGTGCTATGCCAGGCATCTAGAACAGGGCCAGGCCCTCATTAAATATTTGTTGAATGGTTGGAAGCATGATCTTTTGGTCCTGGCAACTTTGACTCATTGGCTTACCTGGTAATGGGAATCGGGCTAAAATTGCTTAATAAGCTTAGACTGGTAAGAAACACTCCATTTCTTTTCAGCCCCGTCATTTCATTAGTCTAGTTTGGGAGTAGGTAAACCTGGCGCCACCTTGTCTGTATAAAGGTATGTGAGCACATATCATTTTTTCCCAGGGACAGTCACACTGTTTATGGAGGTGTGATGTCAACAGCCCTTGGGGTTGCCAGGTGTTAACCCAATGGGCAATTAACAGTGTCATGCCATCCTTTTCTTGGGAGGCAGCTGCCACTCTGGGGTGTGGGTAGTGCCTGTCACGTGGTCGGGATGAGAGCCAAGGATGATAGTGAAGCCTGAAGCTTGGGGAAGTCAGGAAAACCGTGAGGTTCCAGATCAGCAGGAAGTCCACAGTTAAGGGAGCCTTCTGGGAAGAAATTAGGACCAGCCAGAGATTCATGGGAGCATGGCAGGGTATCAAGTTCCATCAATAGGGGAGAAAAGGCCAGACAAACCTCAATAGGGGATTAAAGGCTCTTGAAACCTCAGTTTACCCCCCAGATAAGGATGAGGTCTCTTTCTTTCCAGGTACCATCACCCAGGGCAGGACCTTCATAGGAAGGCCTGTTTCAGCCGCAACCTAAACTGTTCTCATTTTTCTCTTTTCTAAAAGCCACCTTCCAGCAGGCTACACCTGGCGGCCTGCACAAGGCAAAGCACCTTCCTGGCAAGGGAGCCAAGGGCCAGAAGCAGGCCGCATTCTCAGGCACAGTGGAAAGGGAAGGAAAGGGAAGGGGGCTTGGAACCTAAGACACTGCATAGCAAATTCATCTCTACCCAATTCCAGCCTTTCTGTTGACTTACAGCCAACTGGAGTTTGAAAGTGTGGGGATAAACTGATGGGAGAGCTGAGGTTTGGGAGTCTGAGCTGCTTTGAGTGGTCGGTGAGCTCTGTTTGCTCCAGAAGCTAATGAGGATGCAATAAAGACAACAAATAGAACCTTCTTTCCCTTTGGGCTATTCCTGGGTATAGGAATAGCCCAGGCTGGCTGTTTGTGGCTGGCTGGGTCAGGGACCGAACCATAGTGAGCATTTTTGAATCGGACATGAGTTGGTTACCATTCAAAGTCTTGGAAGGGAGGCTGGGCATGGTGGCTCATGCCTGTAATCCCAGGACTTTGGGAGGCCGAGGCAGGCAGATCATTTGAGGCCAGGAGTTCAAGACCTGTCTGGCCAACATGGTGACACCCCGTCTCTACTAAAAATACAAACAATTAGCTGGGTGTGGTGGTGCAGGCCTATAGTTCCAGCTACTCGGGGGCGGGAGGCTGAGGCAGGAGAATCGCTTGAACCTGGGAGGCAGAGGTCTCAGTGAGCCAAGCTCGCGCCACTGCACTCCAGCCTGGGCGACAGAGCAAGACTCTGTCTCAAAACAAAAACAAAAAACAGACAAACAATAAAACCACCCAAAGTCTTGGAGGGGGAAATTAATCTCCTGGTTGAAGGCTCTGGCATTCTGTGGACTGCCCAGCAAGCCATTTATACGACCAATATTTATTGAGTGCCCACTCAGTGACAAGTGTTATGATGAAAAATTAAGATGCATTTCTCTATTTAAGGCATTTGCATGTACTTTTATGTTCTTTTAAAATTTCACATCTTGGTTACATCTTATATTGCAGTCTTTGGTTTTAAGGGCCTTGACAACTTTACGGAGGAAGAGAATCCTATGAATATGAAGCCCTATTTTCACTCAGGGAGCAGCCCTGCCACACTATATCCTTTGCCATGGTTGTTTTTCTTTATAGCATTTCTCATGACCTGGCAGAAATAGATTAGTCTGCTTGCTTGTTGTCTATTTTCCCTTTAGAATATAAGCTAATTATATTGGGTAGGGGTTGGGGGTGCTTTTTAAAGTTGTGGTGGGATATCCATGGCTTAGAACAGTGCCTGGTCCTCAGCAGGCACTAAACTCCTTGCTAATGAATGAAAGACTTTTCTCTCTATATAAAACCACTTCTCGCCTCAAGGCTCAAGTGTGTGTGGTGTGTGTGTGTGTGTGTGTGTGTGTGTGTGTGTGTGTATTTTTTTTTTTTTTTTTTCCGAGACAGAGTCTCATTCTGTTGCCCAGGCTGGAGTGTAGTGGTGTGACCTTGGCTCACTGCAACCTCCGCCTCCCAGGTTCAAGCAATTCTCCTGCCTCAGCCTCCCGAGTAGCTGGGATTACAGGCATGTGCCACCACACCCGGCTACTTTTTGTATTTTTAGTAGACATGGGGTTTCACCATACTGGCCAGGCTGGTCTCGAACTCCTGACCTCGTGATCTGACCACCCTGGCCTCCCAAAGTGCTGGGATTATAGGTGTGAGCCCCCATGCCTGGCCCCAAGTGTATATTTTTAAGATTTTTGTTTTTTTGAGATGGAGTCTCTTTCACCCAGGCCAGACTGCAGTGGCATGATCTCGGCTCACTGCAAGCTCCGCCTCCCAGGTTCACACCATTCTCCTGCCTCAGCCTCCCGAGTAGCTGGGACTACGGGCTCCTGCCACCACGCCCGGCTAATTTTTTGTATTTTTAGTAGAGACGGGGTTTCACCGTGTTAGCCAAGATGGTCTCGATCTCCTGACCTTGTGATCTGCCTGCCTTGGCCTCCCAAAGTGCTGGGATTACAGGCATGAGCCACCGCGCCCGGCCTATTTTTAAGATTTTAAAAACACATTATTATTAATATTATTTAATTACAAAAGCAAAGGATATTGCATTAGGGATTATAGACGCTATGGCCTGGGTTTAAGATTTAGGCTAGAGAAAAGGCATAGTTGCCTATGACCCAAATCTTAGTTCCTTTGTAACCTATATCATCTAAGTTCAGCCTTTCATACCAGCGAAAATCTCTGTCTATGGTGACTTTTTTCAGGATTTGGGGTATTTTCCAGAATGTTCTGTCAGTCTTGCCTTTGAAGTTATAGCCACCAGACCATTGGTTCATTCTTTCACTTTCGTTGAAGCATATTAAATGAGTGTTTGCTAAGTGCCTGTTGCTGGGGATATATTAAGACAATCAACACTGTCCCTACACTCAGTGAGTTTTGGTTTCTTGGGGGAGATTGGACATCTCTGTAACCAAAAGGCCATGTTTAATAAGTCTCTTGTGAACTGTGTAGAGCTCCATGTGAGCTCAGAGGAAGGAGTGCTCACTTTGGGACTTTGAGTATCAGGGAAGGCTTCCTGGAGGAGCTAGCATATGAGTGAGACTTCAAAAGGCAGAGGAGAAGGTGGGTTGGCCAAGCCTAGGCAGCAGCTGCAGTGTAAAGGGCAGGGGAAGTCAACAAGATAGGCCCATAGAGGAAGGGAATCATCTATTTGGGGGACCATGCTGGTGGGTCTGGCCAGACCTAGAGAGGTGATCCATAGGATATAGACCGTAGAAGTGGGCTGGAGTTGCTTTGGGAAGGCCTTGAGTATGAGACTACTTTGTTCCTTATCACAAAGGTAACAAGATGCCAAAACAAGTTTTGGAGGCAGGGATGCTCTGCATACAGTGAGATTTTAGAAAGATTATTCTTATGGTTATGTGTGGACTGCTGGGCTGAAACAAGAAGAAATTCGAGGGAGAGAAGTTTGGGGAGAGAGGGACAGACAAATAAGAAACTTTGGATTATGGGCGATGTGGGAAGAAAGTACTGAAATATGACTAGATTTACTTGAGTTTAGGAAGGGAAAGTCTTTGGGCTTTGGTGACCACATGCGTGAGATGCAAGCTGGGGAGGGAAATGATTAGGGGGATTTGATGAGTGCCTTGTGCTTCACTGACTGGAATGATGGCACCATTGGCAGAAACATGAAAATTGTTTTGGAAATTTCTGTTGGGGCAAAGGAAAATCTGTTTGGGGTTTCGGCATGTAGAGCTGGAGGTGGTGGTGGGACATCTGGTGGACATATCTGCCAGACCATTAGCAACTGGCCAGTCAGTGGGTGTCCCTTGCCCAGCTAGATCTATACCCTTAGAGATTAGCAAAAAATGCTGGCCAAAGGAATAGAGAGAGATTAGGTTGAAGCTGATTTTGAGATGTCTTGCTCACCTGATTCAGTAGAGTTAAGTATGCCCCATCTCGTCAGAATTTCCACAGTGGGCCTGTGTGCATTACATATCACCTTCTGTGAGTGTGTGATGTGGCCGAAGTCCAGCATCTTTACTAGCTAGGGTTCGGGCTTGTACCCAGATCTCTCTTAGGGTAGCCGGTCAACCTCCACCCTTCCCAGTGGTGGAATCTGGCCTCTGTTTCCTGAATCTCAGAGTTTGTGACAGGAGAGATGTTGGGATCCTCATGCATGCTCTCAGGGACTGTGACATTAACCTCTTTGGCTCAATCCAAGAAAGACCTTGTACTGGGACCCATGCCTCGGCAAACCCCTTCCTAATGATTTATAAAGGCAGAGGGTAGGGCAGCCCTCACTCACCTTTTTTACCACCACAAGGGCTGGTTTTATAACTTCTGTTCCCTTTCGGGGCTGATTTCCATCTTCCTTTCCACTTTATTTTTTCTGGATTTGGTATATTGGAAGCAGGGGCTGGGGCAAAGGTTGCTGATGGTTAATTGCCATGCCCAGCCCCTGGGCCCATCTCCCAGGGAGAAAGCTCAACCACAAGGGGGAAGGAATTACATCAGTTTGGGCCCTTCGGCACCTCTTAGAATCCTGCCAGGCAAAGCCCGTTCATTAAGATAAGGCCAATAGTCCAGTCCTGACAAACACCAGTTTTGGGTCCAGGCCGCGTGGGAGGGGTGGCAGCTTGGAAGATGATGCCAACATTTTCCGAGGGGCCTGGCCTGCCATTAGATGACTCAGTGCGTTTCCCAGCACCTCAGCCAGGAGGCAGGGAGAGAGCCGCAGCCCTTATTAATTTTTTTCCTCTTGGGATAGGACTGTTTTGTCTTGGCACCAGGTCCACAGGAAAGCCTTCATTCATCCCCTCCCTGTCTGTGATCTCATCAGCCAGAGCACAGCTTCACCCAGGGAAGCAGAGCCCCAGAGCCTGAACGAGCTGTACCAGTCCATTGTCCCAGGCCACTGGCCTTGAAGTAAGACCTACTTGAGTTTAAGCCCTAGCTCCTCTGGGTCTCAGTTTACAATATGTACAATGGAAGCAATAATCACAGCCTCACAGGCTCATTGTGAGGACTGAGGGAGGGAAAGCATGTAAAGCACTTAGCACAGTGCTCTAGCCCAATACATGGTAGTAATTGCTAATACTCCCCCTTCTTGAGTAGCAATATAATAGTTGTTAATAGTGTGTTTTCTGGAGAGTTAGACAATTCGAACAGGGTGGGTTTGAGGCTTGAGGCCTCATCTTTCTAGTTGAGAGACTTTGGGAAACTTCATCTTGCTGAGTCTGTTTCCTCATTTAAAAAATGGGAATAACACTACCTATCTCATGGGATTACTGTGAGGATGAAATTAAGCAGACCAAGTGTTTAGCACAGTTGCCAGTGCATACAAGAGAACTTCGGAAAGTTCATAGAAAAATGGAATTAAAAGATAAAATTAAAAGATATAAACTTTATTTCTCAACGTAAGCTCCCTCAAGGTCAAGACACCTTTTTTTTTTTTTTTGAAACAGGCTTGCTCTGTCACCCAGTGGCATGATCTTGGCTCACTGCAACTTCCACCTCCCAGGTTCAAGCGGTTCTCAAGCTTCACCCACCTGAGTAGCTGGGATTACAGGCACATGCCATCACATTCAGCTAATTTTTCTATATTTTTAGTAGAGACGGGGTTTCACCATGTTGGCCAGGCTAGTCTTGGACTCCTGGCCTCAAGTGATCTACCCGCCCCAGGTCTCCCAAAGTGCTGAGATTACAGGTGTGAGCCACTGTGCCCAGCCAAGGTCAGGATACTTTCGTAACCATGATATCAGCCATTTATTTAGTACATCCCTAAAGAATTGAGGATCTGGGGATTTTAAGCATGTTAATGCAGTCTTTTTTACATTATTAACTGAAGAAAAATGGCTACCCTTTAAAGAGATATATATATATATTTATATATAAATATATATATTATATATAAATATAAATATAAATATATATATATTTAATGGCAGGCCAATATATATATATTTTTTGAGACAGAGTCTCGCTCTGTTGCCCAGGCTGGAGTGTAGTGGCGCGATCTCGGCTCACTGCAAGCTCCGCCTCCCGGGTTCATGCCATTCTCCTGCCTCAGCCTCCCAAGTAGCTGGGACTACAGGCGTCCACCACTACACCCAGCTAATTTTTTGGATTTTTAGTAGAGACGGGTTTTCACCGTGTTAGCCAGGATGGTCTCGATCTCCTGACCTCGTGATCCGCCTGCCTCGGCTTCCCAAAGTGCTGGGATTACAGGCATGAGCCACTGCGCCTGGCCTAAAGATTTTTTAAGATTAGGAAACAAAAAGTCTTCAGAGGGAGCCAAATTGGGACTGTAAGGTGATGTCTACTGATTTTCCACTGAAACTCTTGCAAAATTGCCCTTGTTTGATGAGAGAAATGAGCAGGAACTTTATCATGGTGGAAAGGTCTCTCTGATGAAGGTTTCCTGGGCATTTTTCCACTAAAGCTTTGGCTAATCTTCTCAAAACACTCTCGTAATAAGTACGTTATTATTCTTTAGCCCTCCAGAAAGCAAAATGCCTAGAACAACCCACAAAATGGTTGCCATGATTTTTGCTCTTGACTGGTTCACTTTGCTTTGACTGGACTACTTCCATCTCTTGGTAGCCACCGCTTTGTCTTCAGGATTGTACTGGTAAAGCGAAGTTTCATTCTTGGTTACAATTCTTCAAAAAAAAAAAAAGCTTCAGGATCTTGATCCCACTTGTTTAAAATGTGTGAAATTTTGAAAGCTCTGTTCTTGTCAGCAGCTGACCTGGGCACAATGGTTTTGCCACCCATTGGGTGGAAAGTTAGCTCAACTTTAATTTTTCAGTAAGGATTGTGTAGGCCAAATCTGTTGAGATATCTGTGGTGCTGGCTATTGTTTCTGCTGTTAATCATTGATCCTTTTCAATTAGCACATGAACAAGATTACTTTTTTTCCTCACAAATTGATGTGGAGGGTCTGCTGCTGTGGGCTTCATCTTCAACATCATCATGTTTCTTCTTAAAATGAATTATCCATTTGTAAACTGCTGACTTCTTTTGGGGCTTTGTCCTTTTACACTTTTATAAAGCGTCAATGATTCCACCATTTTTCCACCCAGGCTTCACCATAAATTTAGTATTTTGTATTGCTTCAATTTTGTAGAATATGTGTTCTGATAGGGACTCTCTTCAAACTGATTTCTTATCTTTCTTGGTGCTTCAAGCTAGATCCTGTTCAGACATGTTATAGCAAGTTAGAACAAATTTATTTTGGTGCAAACATTTATTTTATTTTTTTAGAGACAGGTGTCTCACTGTGCTGCCCAGGCTGGTCTCGAACTTCTGGGCTCAAGTGATCTGTCTACCTCAGCTTCCCAGAGTGCTGGGATTACAGGTATGGGCCACCATGCTTGGCCCTGTGCAAAAAAAAAATTGGAAATCCATGCATAGTTTTTTCATAATATGCATATTATTCATAATATTATTCATAATAGGCATATGTAATATGTTACCTTTCCCACAAACCCCATTAATCCCTTCTCTGATCTTTATTGATTTGGGTACCTCTTACAATCCATCTTGCATTGTTCCTGTTTATGTCCATCGCCCTCAAAAATATAAACTGGGCCTCCTAGGCTCACTTTGTTTTCACCTTGAGGCATGTCTTACACATTATTTTTGTGTTCACACCCACAAATCCAATCCTAAAAGCACTGAAATTGGAAAGGATTACATTGCGTGCCGCATGGAGGCTGGTGCCTGTAATCCCAGGACTTTGTGGGGGGCTGAGGTGGGAAGATTGCCTGAAGTCAGGAGTTCTTTTTTGTTTTGTTTTGTTTGTTTTTAGACGGAGTCTCACTCTGTCGCCCAGGTTAGAGTGCAGTGGTGCTCACTGCAACCTCCGCCTCCCGGGTTCGAGCGATTCTCCTGCCTCAGCCTCCGGAGTAGCTAGGATTACAGGTGCCCACCATCATGCCTGGCTAATTTTTGTACTTTTAGTAGAGACAGGGTTTCACCATGTTGGCCAGGCTGGTCTCGAAGTCCTGGCCTCAGGTGATTTGCCCGCCTCGGCTTCCCAAAGTGCTGCAGCGCCTGGCCGAAGTCAGGAGTTCTTGACCAGCCTGGGCAACACAGTAGACCCCATCTCCTAAAGGAAAGGATTACCTTGTACATTATACAGCAAAAGTTCTTAAAATTGTTTTTAAAATGTATCTCTTCCTTTAAGTTTCCACTCCCTATGTAAGTTGCCTATCCCTCTTTCCCTCCTTTTTGGGCTAGTATCGTCTCCAGCTTGCTTCCAAGTCCGCTAGGGAATACACACGCGCGCACACACACATACACGTGTGTGTTTACGTACTAAAAATATATAAACATTAATAATGCAAGATGGGGCCGGGCGCTGTGTCTCACGCCTGTAATCCCAGCACTTTGGGAGGCCGAGGCGGGCGGATCACGAGGTCAGGAGTTCGAGACCAGCCTGGCCAACATGGTGAAACCCCGTCTCTACTAAAAATACAAAAATTAGTCGGGCGTGGTGGCAGGCGCCTGTAATCCCAGCTACTAGGGAGGCTGAGGCAGGAGAATTGCTTAAACCTGGGAGGCGGAGGTTGCAGTGAGCCGAGATCGCGCCACTGCACTCCAGCCTGGGCAACAAGAGCGAAACTCCGTCTCAAAAACAAACAAACAAACAAACAAACAAAAACCAAGATGGATTGTAAGAGGTATATATATACACATAGGACTCCATTTCTTGGGGGACCTGGAGGGGAGAAAGTCACACCCATACACACACGTACACGCATGTATACAAAAATGAATATATGCTCAGATATATACAATATATAAATGGGCAAATATAAAATCCCCTTTGTGCCAACGAATCCATTCATTCATTCATCAAATATTTGAGCGTCCACTTTGCCTAGAACCAAGTTATCTGTTGGGATGAGCAAGGCATAAGAGGTTCTAGCTCTCATAGAACTTAGAATTCTACTGGAGGAAGATGAGAACAAATACAAAATGTAAACAGTGGAAGTTCTGTAAAAACAACACAGAGCTTTGTGAGAGTGATGCTTAGAATGCTCCTGATGTTCCATTGGGTGTTCGAGCAGGGGGAATGGACTCGGAGGTGAACTATGAGCCGAGATTCATTTTATAAACGGGAACACAGACACATGGACACTTGAAGGGCCTTGGTGGCCAGAAAACTGAAGGCAGGTTCCCATCCGTCTTGGCACCACTCTCCCGAATAGCAGTTTCAGGGAACTGCACAAGCCAAAACCAGCCGGTCGCAGAGTCCAGGAGCGCCTGCGCAAGAGGACGCCTGCGCAAGAGGACGCCGTCAGCTTGGCGTCAGCGCGCCGGGCTCTGGCCCGCCCCCTGTGACACCAGCCCCGCCCCACCCCGCCCCGCATACCCGTGCGCTGCCGCGCATGCTCCGAGCCCCGCCCCCGTGCGTCACAGAATGGCCTCGGACACCCAGGCAGTCCCTGACGTGTCGGGGAGGAGCCGGGCGCGGAGGTACGCTGAGTGGAGCTCGGGGCTGCGTAGGGGAGCTGAGCCGAGCGGCTGGGCGGGCCTGGCCGGGCCGGCGGAGGGGAGACGTCGGTTGAGCGGCGGCGAACATGCGCTTTTGACACATTGGAGGTGAGCCTGCAGCGCGGGGCCGCTCCCTAAGGGGCTGCGCTGGGCCGGCGGCGCCGAGGCCTGCCCTTGGGGAGCCTTCCCGGCCCGGGGCCGTGTCTGAGGCTCCGCCGGGGCGGGCCGGGCCGGGTTCCGGGGCGGCCAGCCTGGGGGCAACTGTTCCAACCGCTCTAACTGTCCCCTCCCTTCCCTGGTCCGATGTGTGGCCCCCCAGGGGCGCCTGCAAGGGAACGATTCCGGTGGCCTCCGGAAGATGTGCCCCGTTCCGGGTAGGGTGAGGGCTGGCGGTGACGGAGGCCGGGACGTGGCACCGTGGGCTGGGGCGCTGGCGGCGCAAGGAGTGGCCCAGTCGGAGGTGGCAGCGGCGCGCCCAGCCCGCCTCCTCCTACCCCCTCTTCGAAATTCCTTCATTTGCGAGGGTGGCTTGGAGCGGGGTTGCATTTTGATCTCTCAGTGCCTCTCTCCCATGGGGGGCGAGAGCGCGAGCAGCCCACGTTGGGCTCGGATTGGCATTCTCCTGACTCCCGCCCGGAACTGCTAATCATCCTCCCCCTGGAGTTCGGCAAAGTGTCACCAACGGGCTCGGGTTACTTGTGCTCGACTCTTTTCTTGCTGTAAGCCATGAGATGACCCTTTAAGTTTTGCAAAGGAGGTGAGAGTTCTGTCACCACTGATTATTACCTTCTATTTACGTAGCACCTTTACACGTTTCAGAGCACTCTTCTTCCTATCTTTTTCTAACCGCATCACCTTGTGGTTGCAACTGATTATGTTATCGCCATTTCGATGGGTAAATGGAGCTGGGATGGGGGTAATTATTTATACTTAGGTTCAACCAACTGGTGAGTGGTTTAGCTTGGATCATAATTTACATTTCTAGGCTCGGAGTTCTGGTTTCTTTTCGTGGGATTTTTATACCCTTCTCAGCTACAAAACAAGGCAGAAAATGTGACTTGCCAAAGATATGCCAGAAGCTGGTAGATTACTTACTCAATTATTTTTGAGAAAACTCACCTAGGATAAAAACGGCTGCTCAGTCATGAGAAAAATCTTCCTGTGAAGCTTGTTCAGGAGTTGCTGGTTAATTGCTTTGCTAAATCGTGAAGTTGATGGGCACAGTGCAGCGTTAAGTCATGGGCTGAAGAGAAGTAAAGGGAAACCAAGTGAAGTATTTCTTCTGAATTATTATTAAAATTATTGTTATTTAAAATTAGAGTGCGTGAGAAACAAAACCTTTGGCCAGCCCTGGTTAGAGGTTGACTTGATCCAGATAGAAGTTGCTAAATCTTCTGAAGCTGTAGTTCTTTTGATTTTTTTAAATTAAATAAATTGAAGTTGGATAAAGAGCTTAAAATAAGTAGGAACCTTAGTAAAACTTAGATCTTGCTTTCATGACATCTGCAAAACAACTTATTTTTGTTTTCATTTTAAACCATGCTGGGATAAATTTGGTTACTAAAGCTTAAAATTACTTCTGACGTAAGTTTCTGAGCACTCCATAAAGTAAAAAAGAAGTCTGATAGAATCAAAGAGAGACCGTGTTTATGATCAACTTTGAAGAGTTAAAAATTCTGTAAATGTCACCTTTGAGAGTAGTAGAATTTCAGTAAAAAGGCATATATTGCCAACAGTGAGTTCTGAAAGAACTCTTCTAACGTCAGTCCATTTTAGAACTGTTAACCAGAAACAATATCATTGAAAATAGATTTTCTTACCATTGTACAAAGAATAATTTCCTTGTAAATAAAAGGCATTTTGGACAGGCTGTTTTAAACTCAAATGAGTTGATTGTTGCTAGATTTCTGAAGGTCATACACAGTATGATAATGCTTTACGTAAAAATTGTCATGCTTTTGAGACTGTGTCCGTATTGAGATCTGGTATTAAAGAAAGATGGGGTGGGGGCGGGCAGAGAATAATAATTTTTTTTTTCTTTGATGGAGTCTCCCTCTGTTGCCCAGGCTGGAGTGCAGTGGCACAATCTCGGCTCACTGCAACCTCCACCTCCTGGATTCAAGCGATTCTCCTGCCTCAGCCTCCTGAGTAGCTGGGATTACAGGTGCGCACCACGATGCCCTGCTAATTTTTGTATATTTAGTAGAGACAGGGTTTCACCATGTTGGTCAGGCTGGTCTCGAACTCCTCACCTCGTGATCCGCCTGCCTCAGCCTCACAAAGTGCTGGGATTACAGGCGTGAGCCACCGTGCCCTGCCAATAATACATAATTATCTATCTTCATTCTAGCTTCAGAAAATTGTGGATGTACCATTAGAGCATTGTTTTAGCAGTATGTTTTCTATATTAGCTAACTTTCTATAGCCTGAATATCTCCAGTTACATAGTTTGAAATAAGTGAACACATCCTCCCAGTGTAACTTGAAGCAAACTGAACAGACTGTATAACAGCCCCTGAAACTGTCGTTTGAGTATCTGCAGTGGTAGCAAATTTTATTATTTGTAAATAATCTGATTTTTATTTTTATTTTTTTGGAGGCAGGGTCTCATTTTGTCACCCAGGCTGGAGTGCAGTGGAGTGATTACAGCTTACTGCAGCCTCAACTTCCTGGACTCAAGCGATCCTCCCACCACAGTCTCACGAGTAGCTGGGACCACAGGTGCATGCCACCACACCCAGCTCATTTTTGTATTTTTGTTAGAGATGGGGTTTCAGCATGTTGTCCAGGCTGGCCTTGAAGTTCCAGGCTCAACTGACATTCCCACCTCAGCCTTCCAAGTGCTGGGATTAATATGCGCGAGCCACTGTGCCTGGCCAGAATCTGATTTTTAAAAAGAGTAAATCTGATGGGTAAAAGTAGGGCAATAGAGCTGGATAATACCAGTTAGGAAGCAATAAAGATGAGGTGTGACCACAAAGTAAGAAGTTTTTGCTTTGTTCTTTTTTTTTTTTTTTGAAACGGAGTCTCTCTCTGTCACCCAGGCTGGAGTGGAGTGCGGTCGCGCGCTCTCGGCTCACTGCAAGTTCTGCCTCCCGGGTTCACGCCATTCTCCTGCCTCAGCCTCCCGAGTAGCTGGGACTGCAGGTGCCCACCACCACGCCCAGCTAGTTTTTTGTGTTTTTAGTAGAGACGGGGTTTCACCATGTTAGCAGGATAGTCTCAATCTCCTGACCTCGTGATCCGCCCGCCTCGGCCTCCCAAAGTGCTGGGATTACAGGTGTGAGCCACTGTGCCCGGCCTTTTTTTTTTTCTTTTATTTGAGATGGAATCTCACCCTTTTGCCCAGGCTGGAGTGCAGTGGCCAATCTCGGCTCACTGCAACCTCCTCCTCCCGGGTTTGAGCGATTCTCCTGCCTCAGCCTCCTGAGTAGCTGGGATTACAGGTGCCGGCCACCATACCCAGCTAATTTTTTTTTTTTTTTTTCATATTTTCGGTATAGACGAGGTTTCACCATGTTGGCCAGGCTGGTCTTGAACTCCTAACCTCAAGTGATCCGCCTGCCTCAGCCTCCCAAAGTGCTAGGATTATAGGCATGAGCCACCGCGCCTGGCCTGCTTTGTTCGCCTGCTTTGTTCTTAATGTGGCTCATAAAGGCTATTCCAAAAAAGAAGTTTTGGAAATGTTTTTCAGCAATGGTGATATCACTGGAATATGCATATATTCCTGAAATGATCAGTTTTAAAGAATCATTTGCATGTTTTAAATTTTGAAGCCTGTTTACTTTGTGGTCATACTTGAAAGGTCTGCTATCGAACTACCAATTTTTAATAGCTTGATGAACATTTAGGTTTTTACTATGTGCCAGGTTCTGTCCTAAGTACTTTACAAATATTAGCTCACTTCATAAGCTCATTCTAATGATTATCCCCATTTTACAGGTGAGGAAATGGGGCACTGAGTCATTAAGTCACTTGCCCAAGGTCACCCAAGTAGTGAGTAGATGCATCAGTAGCGAGTCTGAACTTCCAGGTCTGACTTCAGACTTGGGCAGTTTGGCTTCCCGGTCTGGGCTCTTAACCACTATGCTATGCTGCTCCTATGACTTATTCTTGGTTAAATGTTTTAAATTGTTTTGATCTGGAAGAGATGATGGTCCTTTTAGTAAATGATATCCAACATAGGTTATAATACTGTTAGAGGGGCCAATAAGCGGGTTATGAAAATAGCCTATTGATTAGAAAAGTTGTGGTCAACATTCAATTCACATGAGATTCAGCAAGAAAATAAAGAATGTGACCAGGCGCGGTGGCTCATGCCTGTAATCCCAGCACTTTGGGAGGCCGAGGAGGGCAGATCACGAGGTCAGGAGTTCGAGACAGCCTGGCCAACATGGTGAAACCGTGTCCTACTAAAAATACAAAAATTAGCCAGGTATGGTGGTGGGTGCTTGTAATCCCAGCTACTTAGGAGGCCGAGGCAAGAGAATTGCTTGAACCTGGGAGTCAGAGGTTGCAGTGAACTAGGATTGTGCCACTGCACTCCAGCCTGGGCAACAGAGTGAGACTCCATCTCAAAAAAAAAAAAAAAAAAAGAATGTGTGTGAAGTAAAATAATTTTGCTAGAATTACTTGACACTGAATGTAAGTAGTTGGACAAAGAGGATGCAAGGGCTAGAACTAGATTCTCAAAAAGTTTCATGCAAAAGGCTATTTAAAAACCTGAGTTATCAGGGGACACTCATGGAAAAGTTGGTGTTGTATTAAGAATATGTCCCTGTACAAGAACCAGAAGTCAGAGACAAATGGATACTCGCAATACATCCAGAGGGGTAAACAATGCTATTCCTCAGGGATTACTACTTAACTAGGTGCTCTTCAAAGCATTAACTGCTAGTATGTCCTCTGATACTATATAAATGGGTCAAAACCAACAAAAAATACCCCCACATGGAAATGTTTTGAAGTGGACTCCTGAATAACATTTAGAGATTCAAAACAATCCTAACTCTTTTCGTAGAAGAATTGGCCCCACATTCAAACACCTTCAAATAAATGTTAGATGCCAAGGAAGGTATCTAACAGTCATTAGGAACTTCCATAATGATACCGGTTCATGGGCCACACTACTAGCAATATCATCAAATGCTGCACAGTAACAGAAAGAGTACTGAAAACTCAAAAGAAAAATGATCTGACCAGTGAATAAAATGTTCAGTACAGAAGCAGCACTAGGCACTCAGCCCCAGAAAGGCAGATAGGTAATCTAGGGGCAATACAAAGCATAACAAAATATTTAAGGGACTGAGATGGCTGCCAAATCATTATAGGCTAAAAAGGCAAGAAATAATCACTTTGGGAAGACCAAGGCTGAGAGGTATTATCATCAAAGGCTACAAAACCAGAGGGGACATAAAAAAGGAGAATACAATTTTGTTCGCCAAATCCTGGAACCTTCCAAGAGAGCAGCACATGGGACTCAGGGCAAAGCTAAGACCAAAAACAGGAAGTTCATCGATGGCTATAAAGTTATGGAACTTATCCCAGTTGCTTCAAATAAGATAAAATCAATACATTACAAGTTTTAGACTTGAAATCATTAACTTACAAAATGCTTTATATAAGGATCAGGACTTTCTTCTATTGCTTTTTTTATTTTCCTGAGCTTTTAAATTTCTCTTTTTCTTAGTGACAGTAGAGTAACATGTCTTCACCACAACCTCAAATATATCTAGCTTCTCACTTGTGCTCTATGCTATCTGTTCTATGGGATTCCTTATTTTTCTTGGTGTCATCCGTCTGAAGCATTCTATGGGCCTGATGGACTAGGCTTCATCCTGGGACTTTTCATTGCAGCCCTAGGTTGGAGCCCCTATTTCCTGCATCCCATGCTGTCCAGGTCATGGTTTTCTCCCTTCTTTTGTACTTGTCTCAGGAAGTGTGTAGGAGGTAGCCCTCCTGACCTTTTTTTTTAAGTCTTTGTCTAGTACCTTCTGAGTTCTTGTATAAGAAAAAATCTCATTTCCTGAATTGTCTGTTTCCTCTCAGTTCACTAGGTCCTAAAATTTTCTTATTCATGCTACTGGGTTTTCTTACTTGTCAGATGGCTCTTGGTTGTCCATTTATATTTCAGGGCCGGATAATGATGATTTGAGGTAGCTAGTGTGCAGTGGTTATCTCTAAGGTTCTTCCCAATAAATCCCATCAACTCCCTATTCTTTGATGTGGAGCCTGTACTGAGCCTATGTCAGTGACTGAATGTGGCTGCCCATGTATCGGATTAATAATTTTGTCTAACTGATAATGATAGGTTTTCTAATATTGATTTAATATATGGTGGTACATTGTAAGGTGGAAGTAAACTACCCGCACATCTTTTTGCTTACTCCATTCCTGAAGTAGGAATTCAGATGTTAATAAAGTGGTACTTTGAAAGTCAAGAGGGAATATTGAAAGGATGATTATAAATCAGTTCACATATTTATTTATTTATTTTAGAGACAGGGTCTTGCTGTGTTGCCCAGGCTGGAGTGCAGTGGCACAATCATGGCTCACTGCAGCCTCAAAATCATGGCTTACTGCAGCCTCATTGCTTCTGGGCTCAAGCAGTCCTCCTGCCTCAGCCTCCCCATGTGTTGGGATTACAGGCATGAGCCACCGTGTCCAGCCTCAATTCAAATATTTATTGAACTTCCACTGTGTTCTATGTTTGATGATGTGGAGAGATTTAACCGTTCATTCCTTTAAAAAGATTTTTTTTTTTTTTTGCTAAACCTTCCTGAGTGGCTTGTGCTAGATAAACTCCAAGTTCTATGCATCTCCAGGTTTTTATTTATTTACTTTTTTTTTTTTTTTTTTTTTTTAGATTTTTAGACGGAGTCTCGCTCTGTCCCCCAGGCTGGAGTGCAGTGGCGCAATCTTGGCTCACTGCAAGCTCCGCCTCCCGGGTTCACACCATTCTCCTCCCGAGTAGGTGGGACTACAGGCGCCTGCCACCACGCCCGGCTAATTTTTTGTATTTTTAGCAGAGATGGGGTTTCACCGTGTTAGCCAGGATGGTCTCAATCTCCTGACCTCGTGATCCGCCCGCCTCGGCCTCCCAAAGTGCTGGGATTACAGGCATGAGCCACCACACCTAGCCTATTAATTTACTTTTAAAGCTGGTCTTGAGTTCTTGCTGCCTAGTATGGAATAGGTTGAATCAATTATGGTTTAATTCAGTAAATATCATTGAGTATCCACTATTGTGCAGGCATTGGGCTGAGACGGAAATAAGTAAGCCAGCCTAACAGGCAACACAAAGGTGTAAGCAAATGCATTGCCCTGTGGTAATAATATCAGTGAAAGCATGTGTGGGGTACAGAGGTAGCAAAGAATGCAAGAGATTTTAATGCTGTCCAGTTGAGGGCAAGAAAACCTCTCTGGAAAAGATGACAATTAGGTTTTAAGGATAAATAGTAGTTTTCCTATTTAGGGGAGCCACTCCAGGTAGAGAAAACCTGGAGTAGTTTTCCATGCCTGAAAGAGCCTGGTGTGTTAAGACAGTTTCGAACAGTACTGCCAGAATATAGAGTGGGATGCCTGGGGAGGGGGTGCTAGGAAGCAGTAGGCATGCCTCTAGAGTGGGCCTGACGATCAGTTGGGAGTTGTAGGTAGCCAGTCCAAATGTTAGTTAATTAAATCGCTTTTTTTCTCCTCTCTGAATGCCTTGGGAGAGAAGAACCAGGATGAGAGAGAGAGATCATTGAAGTTGGAGATTAGTGGGCTTTTGGAAGGAAGCTTTGGACTTAAAAGATGATTAACAGGAGGTTTTTAGAGATTTGATAATAGTAAATTATTGGGAATGTGGTGCCTGATTTTCTAGTAGGGTCACCTGGCATAAAATGTTCCAAGCAGATGTTTTGAAGCAGTTGTATACCTGGGAAGGGCAGCATGCATGCGGTAGCAGCATCTCTGACAATAAGCTTGTTTCTGTCTCCCGATTCGCAGAAGACCACGTGGCCTTAAACCAACTGCTGCAACTCTGTGTGCAGGATGATTCTGTGGGCCCAAGTCACCCAGCGCCTATGCTGCAACCAAAAGTGCCTCCTGTCGCTTTGTATCAAAGGACCTTTGTCATGATCTCATTCACAATATTGGTGGTCCCTGAGAGTGGAGCAGTGGAGTGATTGACGTGCCTGAGTTTGAAGAGAGTTAACCACTGGAATCTCTCATGTTTTATTCCCTCCAAAATGCTGCAGTTCAGTGTTGTCCCAGATTTTATGCTTGTGCTTAGATTTCTCTGTTCTCTAATTTGTTAAGTTTGTCTTTAATATTTCACAGGCTTTCTTGATCATGGATGGTGAAGATATACCAGATTTTTCAAGTTTAAAGGAGGAAACTGCTTATTGGAAGGAACTTTCCTTGAAGTATAAGCAAAGGTAATGTTGGAAAGCACACTAAAAGTAGGGGAGGGCATTTGGAATACACCGTGTCTTGTTTGTGCATTTTTCTTTTTAACATAAAGCTAAATTTAGAATTGCAGATTTAGGATTCTAGGATTGAGATTCTACAAACAGTCACCACATGGGTTGTATTTAAATAGTGTAAACATGCCATAAGTCTTTATATTGTTCAAATTATTAAAATAGTAGGAAAACTGTCATTTATGATTTCTTCTGATTGTTACCTGTTCTATGCTTTTTAGTAGGCGGGGCCATCTTTGGCCCGTTTTGCATGCACTGATTCTGCCTCATCATTTTGGTCATTTGGAGATTCTGATAAGCTGTCTGGGGCTCCATAGAACAGACTTTACGTTCTCCTCAGGCAAGCATGATCAGTGTCTGGAGCCAGCAAAGCTTTGAGGGAGGGGGAGAAGCTTCAGGGGCATGGAACGTTTTATAAAATTTCAGTTATTTGGTTGGGAGAACTTTCAGGCAACAACCTTTTAAGCAACAAAACTTGTCTCAAATTTCTTTTTTAAAAATGGGATCTTGCTAAATAAAATATTGATACATTTTCCTATTTTGGTTAACAGAGTTTACTAAGTCTTATCAAACCTTTTACTGCCCTTTCATTATTATCACCGAAGTCAGTTATTCTATTGTGCCAGTGGATATGAAAGGTGTGTATCTATGGCAGGGTTCTTAATCTTTTTCTGTGTCATAGATGTCTTAATGGGCTGGGGTAGCCTGTGGACTCCTCAGCATAATATTTTTAAATGCATAGAATAATAGAATTACAAAGAAAATCAATTATATTGAAAAAAGTTATCTAAATATTAAACTAATTTATGGCATAGTAACATGTACTTCTCTATTAATGCATTAAATAAAAAAAGATACAGAAGTGAATGTAATAACTACCTAATTTTGAAATAGTCATGAAAATAAATATATTTAGAGATACATGCAACGATTCTATTGTGATGTGAAAATATGTGTGATTTCTGTTGAATATGGTAGAAGGAAATGCCAAATTTGTTACTTTAATGAAAGTAAAAATGCATTTTTCTCGCATCTGAGTTCTGTGGTGGAAGAAGCTAATGGTATTGAGCCACGTAGCCTTACTTTTCATAAATATTGTAATCACTGACTTGTGGCTCCTTTTTGGGCTTGTCGTTTTCATTGAACCCTGAATATATACAGTAAGAGATGCAAAACAGATTGTCTTTAGTATATTTTATGAGAGCATTAGCATTCAAGCAAAAATTATCGAATTGCTCTATAATCACCTCCAAGACAATCCTTGTGGTTCTTAGTGTAACTCGTCTTTCCCACTTTGTTTCTGATTAGCTTCCAGGAAGCTCGGGATGAGCTAGTTGAATTCCAGGAAGGAAGCAGAGAATTAGAAGCAGAGTTGGAGGCACAATTAGTACAGGCTGAACAAAGAAATAGAGACTTGCAGGCTGATAACCAAAGACTGAAATATGAAGTGGAGGCATTAAAGGTAATTGCAGCAGTAGACGCTGGGGTCTAATGTGTTGAGTTTTATTAAAATGAGAAATATGTTTTTCAGGTGCTTAAGAGCAGCTGGCGACAAAAAATAGTTTGAAAAAAACGCTTAAAGTGAATTTTTGAATAAAATGTTTTCTTTCACGGAACCAGGGGAAAAGGTGGTTTAGAGTTTAGGAGTTCACTTAGAAACTTTGTAGTTGTCACTTTTCTAGCTATAATGTTCCTAGCTATATTATATTATAGTTCCTATAATTTTCAAAAGCTGCCTGATTATTTGTTTTGACAGATAGGTTGCCTCATTCTGCAGTATGTTTACAATTATATTGATAGGGAATATGCATTTATTTCATTATTGTTCATAGCCCTTTCAGTTTTGGAGTTTAGTTAGGGTTAAAAATTTCCCTTCTAAAAAGGAATTTTCAGGAGCAAAAGGATTCACCCCTTTCTCTGCCCTTTACCATCTACTGTAGCCACATGCTTGAGGGTATTTAGTGTCTGGGGAGTGGGTGGGTTCTGGGAAGGTTGGATGGGCAGGTGAAAGGTAGGGAATGTGAACTCTGTGCTTACCCTGGGCCGCATTTAGCCTGAAAATCCAGAGGTTTCCTTAACAAGTTTGCGGATTTTGAGGCAAGGATTTTTTATATTAGTTCTTTTCAGAGAGATTGTTATTGGGTTTCTTTCTGAGAGGAGAATGGTTGACAAAATTTAACATGAGTTTAGGCACTTAGAATGAATGTGTCATTTAGTTGTTTTTAAAGTAATTGTTACAAGAGTGTGGGTAAATTCCTTGGGTTCCCCCCCACCCTTTTAACTTGAGTTACCTCTTTAGTAAAGAGAACTGTATATTAATGACATGTACTTTCCTATACTGATGCCCTCAGGAGAAGCTAGAGCATCAATATGCACAGAGCTATAAGCAGGTCTCAGTGTTAGAAGATGATTTAAGTCAGACTCGGGCCATTAAGGAGCAGTTGCATAAGTATGTGAGAGAGCTGGAGCAGGCCAACGACGACCTGGAGCGAGCCAAAAGGTAAACGAATGACTGCATTTTGTTAGAAAAAAACCACCTTGGTAATTAGTGATTAAAATCTTTATTAGGCTCTTCCCCTAGATCTTAGTCCCAGAACATTTCCTGTTGGTGTTTCATGTCACCTGTAACTCATCGGACGGAAGGGAACCCCAAATCCTCATCTCCCAGATAACGCCCTTCAAAGCTTTCTCTTTCAATTTTTCTTTTTTCCTTCTTTCATATACTGTGGTTGATCCTATTGGTTTTGTTTTGTTTTTTGAGACAGGGTCTCACATTGTCGCCCAGTCTGGAGTGCAGTGGCATGATCTCGGCTCACTGCAACCTCTGCCTCCCAGATTCAAGCGATTCTTGTGCCTCAGCCTTCCAAGTAGCTGGGATTATAGGCATGTGCCACCACACCCAGCTAATTTTTGTATTTTTAGTAGAGACGGGGTTTTGCCATGTTGGCCAGGCTGGTCTTGAATTCCTGCCATCAAGTGATCTGCCCACCTTGGCCTCCCAAAGTGCTGGGATTATAGGCATGAGCCACTGCACCCAGCCTAGGTTTTGTGTATTTATTTATTTTTTAAACTGTCTCATGCATTCCCCCATCTTCCCTCTGTGCTCTTAACACTTCCATACTTCCTGTAGGTCCTCATATCTTATACCTGGATTCTGTAGTTATCCTCTAGCTGATATATCTTTATATTTCTGTTCCTTTTTATTCTCTTTTAATACTGACTGATGAATTTTCTTAAAATGTTGATTTCAGTTCAAATTTCTGAACAACGTGCAGTGGCTTGCTATCACTGTTGCCAAACTTTTATGCATGTGTAATTAGTTGTTTCTTAACCATTCCAAACTTAATTCCTATTACTTTATAATTGTTTCCTGGTATTTCCTTCCTTAATATTTATCCAGTGAGTCTTAAGTGACTGACATGATGCTAAACTTACAGATGCGGAGCTAGTCTGGTCACTACCCTTGGGGGTGACAGATATGTACATTCACTATGTTAATACCCTAGTAAAAAAAAGTGGGCAAGCTGCTGCTCCAGGGCATAGAGGAGGCAGCAGCCAGATTGGTTGCGGGGAGGTGGGCGGGGGGGGGGCAGTGGGGGAACCAATCAGAGGCTGAAGTGAAGTTACAAAGTGACACCCTATGCAAATGTCTGAGTGGTTGCAGAAAGCAAAGGGAATAGCTTCTGGTCCTTTTCTTACTTAGGTGTGGAAAGTTCCGGTTTTCCTTTTGATTTAGTTCTAGGAAGTCAGTGTGAATTGGCCTTAGGTTCCCTGACTTGGGACTTAATGTTTTAAACAAACTCTTACATATATTACAAGTTTTGAAAAGTTTTCTTTCTGAAAATGTGTAAACTTGATTGTATTGTGTTCAAAACACAGTGGAGATATAAATAGTGTAACAAATAGCCTTTCTGTAGGGAACATTAAGGAATAGATGGGAATTTAAAAGAATGTATTGTATATATTGCCCAACTGATAGAGACACTACGTGCCAGCAGTGGTCAGGAAGGGGCAAGATCATCTTCTTTGATTGGGGCCAGGCTGGCTAGGTCAGGAAATGTCACGAGATAAACTGACAGTTTCCTTTTGTACTATCTGTTTGCACATGTTATTTATTTAATTCATGTACTCTAATTTTTCTTTTTAGGGCAACAATAGTTTCACTGGAAGACTTTGAACAAAGGCTAAACCAGGCCATTGAACGAAATGCATTTTTAGAAAGTGAACTTGATGAAAAGGAATCTTTGTTGGTCTCTGTACAGAGGTTAAAGGATGAAGCAAGAGGTAAAATTTATAACTTAAAGAATACAGTTGACCCTTGAACAACATGGGTTTGAATTGTGTGGGCCCACTTATACTCTGATTTTTTTTCAACCAAATGTGGATTGAAAATACAGTATTCACGGCATTCAAAACCCTGTATATGGAGGGCTGACTTTTCATATATACGGGCTGACTGTGGGACTTCAGTATGCGCCAATTTTGGTGTAGGTGGGGGTCCTGGAACCAATCCCCATGTATACTGAGGGACAACTGTATTTATCCTCCCTTACCTTACTGTCCCTATGCCAGAAGAAGCTTAGAGTCAACTTTTTTTGGAGACGAAGTCTCGTACTTTCACCCAGGCTGGAGTGCAATGGCACAATCTCAGCTCACTGCAAATTCCGCCTCCTGGGTTCAAACAATTCTCCTGCCTCAGCCTCTCGAGTAGCTGGGATTACAGGCGCCCGCCACCACACCCAGCTGATTTTTGTATTTTTAGTAGAGACGGGATTTCACCATATTGGCCAGGCTGATCTCGAACTCCTGACCTCGTGATCCGGCCGCCTTGGCCTCCCAAAATGCTGGGATTACAGACGTGAGCCACCGCGCCTGGCCCCATCCAGCTAATTAAGAAAACATTTTTTTTGTGGAGACAGTCTCAGTATGTTGGCCAGGCTGGTTTTGAACCCTTGGCCTTAAATGGTCCTTCTGGTTCTGTCTCCCAAAATGTTGGGATTATGGGTGTGAGCCACTGTGCCTGGCTTCTTAATCATTTTAAAGTGTACAGTCCAGTAGTGTTAAGTATAGTCAAATTGTTGTGTAAACAAATTTTTAGAACTTTTTCATCTTGCAAAACTGAAACTATACCTATTGAATAGTGACTACCCATTTTCCCTTCCCTTCAGCCCCTGGCAACCACAGTTCTATTTTCTATGAGTTCAGCTACTTTAGATACCTCATATAAGGGAGATTATACAGTATTTGTGACTGGTTTATTGCATTTAGCATAATGTCCTCAAGGTTTATCCATGTGTAGTATGTGACAAAATTTCCTTCTTTTTTAAGGCTGAATGATACTCCATTGTATGTATTCATTTTCTTTATCTGTTCATCTGTGGATGGACATCGAGTTGCTCCCATCTCTTGCTATTGCGAATGATACCGCTGTGAACATGGGTGTCCAAATATCTCTTTGAGATCCTGTTTTGAATTCTTTTGGATACATACCCAAAAGGGGGATGACTTTGTTCCTTTTTTAACACAAGCAAATATTCTGTAAGTTAAATTGCATAATTGGAAAAGATAACATTAATTTTGGGTTAAAAACTCGACATTGGCTGGGTGTGGCGGCTCACGCCTGTAATTCTAGCACTTTGGGAGGCTGAGGCGGGTGGATCATTTGAGGTTAGGAGTTCGAGACCAGCCTGACCAACATGGTGAAACCCCATCTCTACTAAAAATTCAAAAAAAAAAATTAGCTGGGTGTGGTGGCGGGCACCTGTAATCCCAGCTACTTGGGAGGCTGAGGCAGGAGAATCGCTTGAACCCAGGAGGTGGAGGTTGCAGTGAGCCGAGATTGCGTCACTGCACTCTAGCCTGGGCGACAGAGTGAGACTCCGTCTCAAAAAAAAAAAAAAACGCTCAATATTTGAAAGCATGAGAAAAATTTAAACCGTTCTGAATACTTCTTTTCTAAAAGTAAATATTTCATAGTGATAATAGTTAATGCCAGCCCATTTAAAATTACAAAAATGCACTTAGTTGATTTTGCAATAACCCCAAAACTACATCATTTGAAAATAAAAGCAAATAAGTTGGTGAAGAATATTTACTTTTGTGTGAATTGTACTGTGGACTCTGCACTGTTTCTTTTTGCATATAAGCATAAGTAACTTCTCTCAGGTTATAGCATTTTTAAATTCTAAAAGATCATTTAGACAGTAGTTTTGCCATTTTTATTCCCCTAGAAATGAAAGTTATACTTAAATAGGAAATTCATTTTTGAGAAATAGTAATTTAGGAAGAAGACCTTTATGACATTTTAGATGTCACTTTGCTTGATATATTTGCTCCCTCTAGTGAGTATTCCTGCCCTTGTTTGCAATATTTTACAGATTTAAGGCAAGAACTAGCAGTTCGGGAAAGACAACAGGAAGTAACTAGAAAGTCGGCTCCTAGCTCTCCAACTCTAGACTGTGAAAAGATGGACTCCGCCGTCCAAGCATCACTTTCTTTGCCAGCTACCCCTGTTGGCAAAGGAACGGAGAACACTTTTCCTTCACCGAAAGGTTTGTAATGTCTTTTCTTTTTGAGGCGATGTGTTAGATGATCAGCTTACGGGGGTTTGTTGCTGAAGGCGGTTGCTAAGGTTTAAAGAGTAATTTTAGTTTAAAAGTTGGTGAAGTCTAGTGCTATGTGAAATAGAAGAAGGAATTGTTTTCCTAGGCCACTAATATATAGGAAACAGTGAAATGATGGTTACATTTAAGATGAGATTTTTAAAAGTTAAAGGTTTTTAAGGAAAGTTTATTTTTTGATGATAGCAATAGATTTTGTGATTACAGCCGTATGTTTAGGTAGAAAATTTTAAAAACACAGAAAAAGAAAATAAAAATCATGTTATCTTACCACTTACAGGCACCCACCATTAACATTTTGAGTTTTTTTTTCTATTGTGTGCTTGTGTGTGTTTGTGCACATCTCTTTGTCACATGCAAATTTGGGGATCATATTTAAACACAGTTTTATTTCTTCCTTTTGCCACTTTCCATATCATGGGAGACCTGAGGCCTTTCTACATAGAATGTACAGAGAATCATTAAGTTATCTTTCAGACTCATGTAAGACCGGCTTGGATGGACATGCCCATTCTGTTACATGCTTCAGGAGCTGCCATTTTCAAAAGCATTGTTCGGAGTAATTGATGATTGGCACATACAGAATACTCACATTGCCATGAACCAGTGTGTTTTTTTAAAATCCGGATAAGCAGAAAAACCACCTAGTAGCCACTAGATAGAACCTTAAAATGGAATCTTAAAGCTCTCAATTGAGATTTGTTTAGATTTTGCAGCTCGTAGTTCATATTTCTGCTACTCTCATCCCCCCTTGCTTTTTTTTTCCACCCTATATTGAAGCTGTCATCCCACCCTTTTTAAAATATAGGGTTTTATCTTTTAGAATGCTATGTGGGCAACTAGTACAGTGAGCTCTCTCTGTCTGTGCTACTCAATAGTCACCAGCCCATGTGGCTATTTAAATTTATATTAAAATGAAATAAAATATAAAATTCAGTTTCTTTGTCACATTAACCACATTTCAAGTGCTCAGTAACCCTTGAGTAGGTAATTCAACTTGTCTTTGCCTTGTTACGAGATGATATCAGATAAGGTATGTGAAGGTGCTGTATGGTTGTAAGGTGTTACTAATTGCGCTAGGTTTACTGCTGAGGACAAAGGGCAGGCAATAGATTATTAGCAGTCATCAGGAGCCCTCACGGTCAGTTTTTCAGAAGAGCTGCTTGTATATTTGAAGATTTCACAATTACACCTGAGGACTAACAAAGTTTTACTTTTATGTTACTGATTAGAATTATGCAGATCTGAAAATCCTTTAATTGAAGACGAATCAGAATAGTGAAAAGCCTCAGGTGCGGTGACACCCACAGGTGGTGCACATTTTTTTTTAATAGCCCGTTAGAGTTTTCATTCAGGGACTTGGGGAGTCAAAAGGACATGGAGCCTGCTGTGGCACGGCATGAGGTGTGCCAACCCTATGGCAGTAATATTTGCTTAATAGATATGTTTTTAGGCTGGAACCAATAGCATGAATTTTCACTGGCTAACCTAAAAGCTGCTGTGTACTAGATCACTGCAATTTCATTACAAGAAAGCACAGAGTTGTGAGCAGCAGCAGGTGGTCAGAGAAATCGGTAAGATCTTAGAGCTGATCTTTCTGAAGTGGTCTGTCTTTAATTGTATTTTACCTTTTACAATGTTTGTTTCTCTTTCTTTCTTTCTTTCTCTTTCTTTCTTTTTCTTTCTTCCTTTCTTTCTTTTCTTTTCTTTTTCTTCTCTTTTTTTTTTTTTTTTTTGACAGAGTTTTGCTTTTTTTGCCCAGGCTAGAGTGCAATGGTGCGATCTTGGCTCATTGCAACTTCCGCCTCCTGGGTTCAAGTGATTCTCCTGCCTTGGCCTCCCAAGTAGCTGGGATTACAGGTGTGTGCCACCACACCCAGCTAATTTTGTATTTTTAGTAGAAATGGGGTTTCACCATGTTGGTCAGGCCAGTCTCAAACTCCTGACCTCAGGTGATCCACCCACCTCAGCCTCCCAAAGTGCTGAGAGTACAGGCATGAGCCACCATGCCCAGCCTACAATGTTTGTTTCTAAAAAGCATTTAAAGCAACTTACCATAAAAGCACAGATTTAATAACACCTAAAATGTAAAACTTGAATAGGGAAAAATGAGATCTAGAAATCCCTGCCAAGAACAGTACAGCGGTTTTTTATATCACGTTGAGCGCCTGTTATGTGTCATGTGTTATTCTGGATGCTGGGAGCACAGTGGTAAGACAAAGCCCCTACCTTCAATGAGATTATATTCTTGAGGAGAAGAAGGATAATAAACAACAAAAAAGCCACACAAGTATTTTCGTTGCTGATTAGCACTCTGTGGAAAACAAACATAAAAAATAATAGCTAACCTTTATTGAGTACTTACTACGTGCATTTTTAAAGTACATTAATTTAAACTTCACAACATCTTTATGATGAGGTAGTTGTTATTTGCCCCCTCTTACATATGGGTCACTTACCCAGTGGCTGAACTGGATTTGAATACAGTAGTTCAGCTCAAGAGCCGTTAATCATGATGTCATATTATCTCTTAAAAATTAAGAAATGTGCACGACTGAAAACCTTACTGAGTGTGGAAGAAGATATGGGTAAATATCATGGTAAATACTATGATTCTGAATGGGAAGACTTAATTTTCTTACAATATCCATTCTCCCCAAGTCAATCTGTAATTTCAACTTCTAATAAAAATCCTAATAGGATTTAAAAAATTGATATGTTGATATTAAAATTATTTTGGAATAGTAAATGTGCAAGAACAGCTGAGAAAAATTTGAAATGGGCTAATAACAAGAGGGATCTTTGCCTTTTGAGATCTCAAAATATATTTTAACATTATAATAAAGTAGCATACTTCTGATAGAATAGGCTAATAGTTCAATGGAACTGAAATATATTCATATATTTAGGGAATTTAGTTTATAGTTATAGTGCTATTTCAGATGAGATGAGTTTTCCCTAAATGATACTAGGACAATTGGCTCTCCATTTGGAGGAAAAAATTTAGATATGTATCTTATAGACAACTATAATTTCTAGGTGAATTAAATGATCTAAATGTAAAAAAATCAGAAAAATACTAGGAGAAAGTATGGGAAACATTATGACATTAAGATGGAAAAGCCAAAGGTTCTCCTACCGAAACACAGTGTTTACAAGATGAATGTCACGCTGAGAGATAGAACATCTATAAGAGAAAGGGTGAACATCCAGAATGTATAGAGTTCTTACAAATTGATTACAGGAAAGACAAACCAGTAGAGAAATGTACAAAGACTAAACAGCTGATTTTCAGAAGAGATTCAAATGACTAGTTACTATGGAAATAGAAACTAAAAAACGTGACTATCAAATTGTCAAAAAAAAAAAAGATAATATCTAATATTATCAAGGGCACCACCGCATAGATTGCTGATATTAGCACAGGCTTTTTAGAGAGCATTTTGGCAGTGTCTGTTAAGGTGAAAAAAATGGGCATATGTTCTGACCCAGCAGTTCTATTTTTAGGAATCTCTTTTCCAGAAATACTTGTCTAGATGTTTAAGAGTATATGTCCTTGTAGCATTACTTATAATGGCGAAAAATTTGATATAATGTAAATATCCACCAATTGGACAGTGGTTTAGCCTATTTATGGTATCTATACTTTATCCATAGTTTGAAGTAGTTTGTTGATATTGTATTGAGTGTTACACTACTTTGTAACATCAACAACAAAACCCAAATGTAAAGGGAACTGCAAGTGTAATCACTCAGCTTTTATTTTTCTCTAGCTATACCAAATGGTTTTGGTACCAGTCCACTAACTCCCTCTGCTAGGATATCAGCACTAAACATCGTGGGGGATCTCTTACGGAAAGTAGGGGTAAGTTTCAATTATTTATCACTAGGTGTTTCCACTGACAAGGTATTGAATTATTTCTTAATTTGAAGTGAGGGAAGAAAGAAAGGATACTTTCCTGTGGTAAAGGCTGTCATGAAGCTCAGAAGCAAAAGCATCCATTGACTAGCCAAGTCCAGATGACACTTCATGATGCCCCTGCAGAAGAGCCTGTACCTTGAACTCTGAGGTTCCCACCGGGGCATTCTTCCTGTTCCCCACTCCTGTTTCAACAGCACGATGCCTCTGTCCTTGTCTAGAATACTTTGTCTAAGGCCTGCTGTGTGTCTTCTACCACCCTCATCCTGGTCTTTGCTGCTGTCTACCGTCTTCCTGGTCATTCCTTTGTTTTGTGTTTGTGGGACTTTAACATTTGGCTCATGGCATTACTCTCTACTTTTAGTCTTGCCCACCTTATTTCCTTGGCCACCTCAACTTCAGTGCCTTCTCCTTGGTGTGAGCCTTGTATTCCAGAACAGTTTCGCTTCTGAAATATTAAACCCAGCCGGACGCGGTGGCTCACGCCTGTAATCCCAGCACTTTGGGAGGCTGAGGCGGGTGGATCACCTGAGGTCAGGAGTTCAAGACCAGCCTGGCCAACATGGTGAAACCCTGTCTCTACTAAAAATACAAAAATTAGTCGGCATGGTGGCAGATGCCTGTAATCCCAGCTACTTGGGAGGCTGAGGCAAGAGAATCACTTGAACCCAGGAGGCGGAGGTTGCAGTGAGCCGAGATCGAGCCACTGCACTCCAGCCTGGGCAACAGACAGCAAGACTCCATCTCAAAAAAAAAAAAAAAAAAAAAATTAAACCCGTTTTTCTGCTTAATCAGTGTGTTACTGTGTACCATACCTACTCTTTAACCTCATCAAGAGTATTACCCCATTTTTTAGTGTGTTTGTTTTTATCAGCCATCTCTTGCTTTCACTTCCTTTCTATTCATCTGTGATCTCACACATCTCTTACTCTGTCACTGTTGACTTCATGGTCTCTCTGGCCACAAAGGAGATCTGCAGTCTGAATTACTGGAAACAGTTGCAGAACCATGTGGATTTATGCCACTATCAAGTCAGCATTTCTAGCATTAGCTCCCATTACTATTTCCCTTAGTGAGTTTTACCTCTCCTTTCAGTAATCAACCATTGCCATTTCCCACTATCTACTACCCCCTTCACTTATTTTCGTGTGTGACACTTTCTAAAAAATGTAGAAATTGCATTATACTTTATCTAAAGCAGATATGGGAGGCCAAGACACAGGTCCTATGTTTGCCTGTTTCAGCTCATCATAGGGGTTATTTTCTAACCATCAGATTAAACCTGCATTTTTAAGGTTAAAATACAAAGTAAAGTGCACAGGTCGTTCCTACAGTACATAGAGTAATCTTTCTTCACTCCCAAGATAACCATTTTAAAATCCTCTATGTTGGAGTATTTGTCTTTATAACTTGAAATCATGTGCTTATTTTTCTGTTTATCTTGATTTACTCAACTTTAAGCAAAGATATTTTTATTTTTATTTTTTGTTCTTTTAAAAAAATTACTTTAACATTCTTGAACTTTTGTTTCTGAATGTATTAGGTTATATCTTTTTTTTTTTTTTTTTTTTTTTGAGAACGGAGTCTCGCTTTGTTGCCAAGGCTGGAGTGCAGCGGCACGATCTCAGCTCACTGCAACCTCTGCCTCCCAGGTTCAAGCGATTCTCCTGCATCAGCCTCCTGAGTAGCTGGGATTACAGGCACATGCCACCACACCTGGCTAATTTTTGTATTTTTAGTAGAGACGGGGTTTCACCATGTTGGCCATGCTGGTCTTGAACGCCTGACTTCAGGTGATCTGCCTGCCTTGGCCTGCCAAAGTGCTGGGATTACAGGCATGAGCCACCATGTCTGGCCAGTATTAGACTATATCTTAACTCGCTGTTCTCTCCCTTTCTTCCCCACCACACTCCCACTCCGCTTTCCTTTTCTGAGCCCTCTACTAGCTGTGTGAGCTCTCTGTTGGTTGGTTCTAAAAATGGAAAAGTAGTCAAACAGCATTTGTAACAATGCACATATATGTGTTATTTACTGTGTAATCACAGAGGAGATGCTGGACTTTCAGATGGGTCTTTATATTTGTGCCATTCAACAAATGTGTTTTGAGAATTTTGTTCTTTAACTGTAATTTACTCAAAATCATACTGGGTTTTTAAATATTTCGTATTGTAGCTGACTGTACGCTGCTTTCTTTTCCTAGCATTTCTGTTTCCCCTTCTTTCTTTTGAGTAGAAGAAACCTACACCTTTCTTTGCTCTCGGATCTTCTAGCTTCTTCTTCACACTCTTTGTGGGATGCCCTGATGGGCTTCGAGGGCTGCTGCATTGTTGTCGCCCTCGAATTTCTCTCCATTTTACTCTTGGGTTAGTTCTGCCTGTTCCTCACCCCACGTTGTTGTCTGTCTTTGTTCCTTGTTTGTTTTGCTTTAGTACTTTAATTTATTCAGAAGTGGTGCATGAAAGTTTAATTTGGCATCCTTGTATGGTTTACACATTCAGCTGACAATCCGTCTTCTAAGAGTTATCAAAATAACGACCTCCAAAAGTCATCAACACTTTGGGTCTGCTGGTGTCCACCAGCCCTTGTTGGCTTTTATGAATATTTCATTTATGCCTCTTTACACGACTTTGTCCACTGACTTGAACTGGAAGCCCTTCTCCACTCTTGCATGCCTTCACAGAGAAAATCAAGGCCATTTGTTTTAAGCTTCTTTGATTTCTTTTCTCATCTTTTGTTATTACTCTCCTATTATTACCTCTATTTGTAGCCATTCCTCCTTTTTGTCCCAGTGGTAAAAGTGCAAATTCCTGTCCGTGGCTAATTTTGTCCATCTGTGCTTTGGATCTCATTTCTTCCAACCCTTAAATCTTTATTTCTCCTGTATTTCAGCCTTTTACTATATATGCGTTAATATTTATGTATAATGTTTATGTATTACACATTATATGTTATGTGTTATACAGGTATACTTTGATATTTCTGTATTACATGTTATCCATATAAATATATGTAATACTTATGTGGTACATATTACATACTTTAAAGCTTCTTGAAAGCGTGTCCCCATTTATTGTTAGCATTTTGACTGCATGCACACGCCCCAGACACTTTAGCCTGGGCTCTGTCCCCTGCTTATGCCGCTAAAACTGCTCACTGGTGATCTCAGTGCTGTCAAATCCTGTGGATGCCGTTCTGTCCTAATTTTACTTGAAGCATTCAACACTGACCGTTTTTTTTTTTTAATGCCCTCTTTTCTCTCCTTCTCTGATGCTGTTTCATGGCTGCTCCCAACTTTCTTTCCATTCCTCTTAGTCATCTTGTTGGGTCTTCATCTGCTCACCCTTTCGATATTGGTTTTACTCAGAGTTCTGTCCTTGATTTTCTGATCTTAATCACAGCCATAGTTTCATCCACCCCTGGGTGTGGATGTCTTTCAAATCTTAATCTCTAGACCACCCTTTCCCCCCTCAAAAGACCTGGTGCTCGTGCTTGGATGTCTCACTGATGTCTCAGACATAAGTTGTGCCTGCCGTGTGATAGATACTCAATATGGATTTGAATGAATGCGTGTCTTGAATATAGGAATTGAATGGCTCTCAATTTCTACTGTGTGTGTGTGTGTGTGTGTAGCTTTAATAAGCTGCTGAATTATTGCTGAATTATGCTTATTCAGAGTTTGTTTTACAAGGTCATTACCTCTCTTCCTTTTTTCTGTTGTCATTTTAGTAGGTCATTGTACTTTTGTCATAGGAAAGAAGGAGAAGAAAAAAGTTTGTCTGTTTTTGTTGCTGTTTCTTTTTTTTGAGACAGAGTCTCACTCTGTCGCCCAGGCTGTAGTGCAGTGGTGCTATCAAGGCTCACAGCAATCTCTGCTTCCTGGGTTCCAGTGATTCTTGTGCCTTAGCCTCCTGCGTAGCTGGGATTACAGGTGCATGCCACCACACCCAGCTAATTTTTTTATTTTTTCTTTAGTAGAGACAGGGTTTTACCATCTTGGCCAGGCTGGTCTCGAACTCATGGCCTCAAGTGATCCACCTGCCTTGGCCTCCTAAAGTGCTGGGATTACAGGAATGAGCCACTGCACCCAACCATTGTTGCTGTTTCTGAATAGCTGTTATTGAAATGTGGGGGGAGGAGGTCCAAATGGATTCTCAAAGTGAAGTATATGTTACCTGTGGATTTAATTTAGCTGTGCATTCCCAGTCCTTTACTGTCATGGATAATAGACATGAATTGTGTATATATATATTTTGCCATGGATAGTATTTTTCTTTTCGGAGAAGGAGGGGTTTGATTTGGGCAAAGTGTTTATGGGAAAGAGACAGCTGGTGAAGTGTGAGTGTGTGGAAATACATGAGAAACGCCTGATCTCTCCATGTCATCTGCGTTGGTAGAGCCCTGTGCTTGCCAGGTGTTGTGGTGACAGGTGCAAAACAAGGGTGCCCAATTTAGAGGTAAATGCTAAAAGGCCAGTGTCATTTGCGGGTGAATTATTTAATTACAGACAAAGGGTATCAGTTAAACATTTTACAGAGTGCTGTCAGAAATAAAATAGCTTTTAATTTCATGTAAAGTGTTGTAAATGTTCTCATCCATTCTCATGCAGTAGAAAAAATGAAGAACCTAGAGAAAGAATTGGCTGCCGTAAAAAAAATTCTCAAGTGATATTTTTGGGTTTTTTAATAGTGCTTGCTCCCAAAACACACCCTGCCCCCCAACACCAACTAACAGTCTACAGCTTAGAAACGAGCAATGGATAGGGTCAAGAGACCTGGGATCTGCTGTTCCACCTCCTGTACCACACTTTTTTTAGTTGTAAGGGGAAGATTATATGTATTTCCTTCAGTAACGCTAAGAGGAGGAAACAAAATATTCTGAGGTCATTAGAAAGGGAGCATAAGTATTCCCCCTTTTTATTAGAAAGTTGATTGATTATGGCTGAACTAACCACCATTATCAACTGAGATGAGTAAGTTTTGAGGCTTGAAATAGAAATGGTTTGAAATGCAAATTTTTATGTGCAGCTACTGTTTTGACAACCATATCATTCCTCCTTCTTTTTTGTAGGCTTTAGAATCCAAATTAGCAGCTTGCAGGAATTTTGCAAAGGACCAAGCATCACGAAAATCCTATATTTCAGGGAATGTTAACTGTGGGGTGCTGAATGGCAATGGCACAAAGTTCTCTCGATCAGGGCATACATCTTTCTTCGACAAAGGGTAAGTCCTGAATGTTTTAAGTGATAATTTTTTGAGTAGTAAAGTGACAGGTTAGTAAGTGAGCATAATGAAGCCTTGAAAAGGTAAACTCAGCTTGACAAACCTTCCCGAAGCCTGTTATCATTCTAATCTTAGGTGACATGACGTCTGTTGTTGTCCTCTAGTCCCCATGGAGTCTGTTGCCCCAGGAACCCTGAATCTGAGGCTTCTGTCCTGGGAAGCAGACTCTTGAAAGGCAGCAGTGTGAGGCTCTGGTGAGTCAAAATGACTGCGATAAGGTCCCTGTTCTCCAGGTGCTTACAGGCTGGCAGACTTGGAAATATTTTTTTGGGGTAGAAGACAGCATCACAATTAAATATATGCAAACTCTACAACAGACATCCCCTGTGAGAATTTTAGAGAAATATAAAGCCCTGAAGTACTTAGGCACTGGATCAAATACAGTTTAGGAGATACAACTTTTGTATAAAGTTAAGGCTTTTTTGAAGATTGAAATAAAATTGTTTTAAGGTTGAAGCATCCTTAATGCAAAAAATTTCAGTTAGTATGGAAGTATATGAACTAAAAAGTCATGGTTTCCTGCCTTCACACTGTTTCTGCATTCCTTACAGTTATTCCAAGGCATGCCAAATCATATTTTTATGCATCTGCTCTAAGTTGTTTGTAACACAGTTACGGGATTATACTTTAAATATTGCTTTGCAGTGTGCCTATCATGACTTCTATTGCCATTATCTTTCCATGTCATGTATATTATTCTACCTCAATTTACTTATTTATTTTTAAATACTACATGGTAATACGTGGTTGTATGAGTATGCCTTAATATAGGTCACTATTAGGACCCGTGGCCTGGGATGCTCACGGTGTTGCCTAAGGTAGTTGTTATTGAAACAGCCAACAGGCACCCGTGATCCTTGGCTACTGTCTCTGCTTTGAGTCAAAGAGGTAATTCTTGCTTGTTTTTCTCTGAAAGCAGAGCAGGTACAACTCTAGAAACGCTCACAATCTCTGAAAGCAGCTGGGATTTTCTGCCGTCCTCAATAATTATGGCACATGTGTAAAGGAGCAGATTCGACACACGGTGCACTCTGAATAGGCTCTTATCCTTGCAGTGGAGTGTTTTGGTTGATCTCTGTCCCTGATTTTACCCTGGAGAATATACATTTCATTAAGGATTTTGTATTAAAAGCACATCCTAAAACATCACTATACAAATTAGAACTTTATTCTTTCTTAAAAAATTTGTTTAAATAATTTTTGTTTTCTTTTGAAGAGATGGGGGTCTCACTCTGTTGCCTAGGCTGATCTCAAACTCCTGGGCTCAAGTGATCCTCCTGCCTCAGCCTCCCAAAGTGCTGGGCTTGCCGCCGCGCCCAGCTGAAATCAGAACTTTATTCTAACCATTGGGTTTCCTCGGGTGGAGTAAACATAAAATTGATTTTCCTCAGGCTTAGGAGTTTCAGGCAGACTTGCGGCAGCCCTTGTTTTTATAGTGGAATGATAAATGGAATGACTGGATGGTTTTACATGAGCGTAGCCATTTCCCCTGAATGATATGGAGAACTTTTAGGGTAGTCTTCATAAATGTTGGAAGCAGTGCCTAATTATTTTTCCCTACAACTTATAATGATCCTCTACTAGAGTAGTTATTAGTTTCTCCTTGGAATCGTATTTCTTGATGGGCCGCAGGTGCCTTTCATGAGAGCAGGTGTGAATCATAAATGGATAGGTCGGACAGGTGCCTGTGCGTGTGGAAGCCCTGAAGAACAGTCACGAGGAGGGAAGGATAACACTGTCTGTTCAGGGTCGCTACTCCTGCCCGCCACTTGCCTCCCAAGACAGAGCACCAGGGCAGGGATTGCCAAGAGGTGAGCCTGTTCTGAGGGAGATGTGGGGACCTTAGGGTGAGCTGAAGCCAGGAACAGGCCTTGGGCACACTGACTGCACCTCTGCCCCTTGAGAGCATCCGAGATGTAAGTGTAGGCTTTACTTCCTGAGCTGAACCCGGAAATGTGCTGTGCTTCCCAATCGGAACAGTTGCAGATACTGAGTTTTGGTTTTAAATGGTAGACATTTTACATTGTGCCTTTTCTATTAAGAAATATGCTTTTGTGGGCTGGCTGTTGTGTGAGTGTTTAGCTTATATGATAAGTGGATTGTGTATGCGCACTGAAATATTAACCTACTGTTGCTGGAGTTGTCTTTCTAGTTGCTGTATTCCTGAGGATAACTCTTTTGTGGGTTTTGCTGTGTTTTCACTTTCTTGCCGCTTTGCTTCGATTCCGGCTTTTGGCCTGTCTGGCTTTTTACCTCTGGCTTTTCTTCTGCCAACCTGTTGACCAGATAAAAACCAAGATGTTGTGTAGCAGCCGCAAAAGGAAGGGCAGGATATTCCACTTCCCAGGTCCATTATACACTCTGGCAGGTTAAAAACACAAAAGCCTGTCTGTGTAGAAGTGGAGAAGTATGGCTTGTAGTTTCAGCATGAGAAAAGTGCCCCATTTGAAAAAGCCCTCCACTGCAGAACCTGCCTGCCCTCCCTCTCACTCCTGAGGAGTCTGTAGCACCGTGGTGATGGCTCACTAGTGCTGCCAGAAACCTGCGGCAGGATTGTTTGGGGGAGAGACATCATCAAAGTAGGTTTGTGTGTGTGTGCATGTGTGCGGGTGTACATGTGTTCACCTTCCCACCCGCTGAAACTTCAGATGCAGTGAAGCCTTCTCACATAAAACAATATACCTTAACTGGGCGTATTGCTCTGTGGGATTCAAAAGTATTTTGTAAATTCTGGTCACTTGAGGGCTTCTTGGAATCAGGTTTTTGTCTAGTCTGTGAGCACTTCTGCCAGTTCCTGAAACATGGGCTGCCGTGCCTGCTTCCCAGGTGCCGAGCTGTTTCCTTCAACCATGGTCACCCTTTGTCTCACCATCTGAAAGGACACACATTTCATGTGGAGTGTGGTCGCTTGGAGTCTCTCAAAAACACTCTTTTTTTTCCCATAACTTTATGTAGTTTCTTAGGTAACATGTGCTCTATTTTTGTAAGCCACTCTGAGTTCTTTTGGGCTGTGTGTAGGTGGGCATGGACTAATTTTAGGGCGTGATGTGGAAATAGTATTCGTATTACTGTTTAATATGTTCTCCTTTCTTTTATTAGGCAAGAAAAAGTCATATTTCCCACGTTGTTCATGGGTAACTGAATTTGTTTGCTGTGCTCTTTTTCATTCTTTCTTAATCCTGGTGTGTGGTGGAAGACACATTAACAATCTGGTTTTACTAACTGCATGGGGCTGACTCAGCTTTAACCAACTTACAGCCCATCAGTGAACTTTCACGGTCCTGTTCGACTTGACTGTATGCCGTTATTAGTTCAGCTGTGAGAAACAAGAACAAATTAGTTGCAGTGGTCCTGGGGTGGCTGGGAGTAGCATGCCAGGTGGCACGCCTGAGATGGGCTAGGGCGCTGTAGTGTTGATTTCAGAGTCTGGCGATGGGGGTTTGAGGTCACTGTCAGGCCCTGGGATCACCTTTGACTGTCTTCCTGGGACTGGGGGTCTTCCCGTTACCCAGTTGCTTCTGTTTTCTCAAGTCAGGCACCAGTGTGAGCATTCCCTCACCTCTGCGCTCACGCATGGAGTCCCCAGTTAAAATGGAATGGTACATGGGGACGTGTGTAAGATCTGCCTTACATTTCAGAACTGCTTTGCAGTTTGCAGAGCCTGGGCTGAGAACTGGAGCAGGCTGGAGCTGCTCTGAGCCCACACTCATCCACTGAAATAGGAGACTCAGGTGTGGCGTGTGCCTGCCTGCAGGCTCTTCTGGATAGCTTGAGCCCACCCTCCTGCCCTCTCCAGTGTCCTGATCCTTGCTGCTTTGACAGAGTTAATGTTTCCATCCTTCATCTCAGCTGCTTTGGATTTATTGTCCTGAGTAGCTTCTAAGTGTGCCTTGGCTCTTCCCCCTTTTCACTTCTTCCACTGACATTTTACAACTGACCTTAGCACTTTTTCTTAGCTGGATTCTCTATATTTCAGCCTCCTTAACTAGTCTGTGGTGGTAAGATCATGAAATTTTATAGCTCTGGAACCTTTTTTTTACATATATGATTCCCAGATCTGTATCTTCAAGCCTGCCCCATCACTCTTCCTTCAGTCCTGTCTTGTGCACTGGGACATTGCCCTGTGGCTCTTTGCTGCTCCCTGAAACTGAATCTGTTGAATATAGAGTCTCTTCTCTTGCAAATCTTTTCCCCATGCACAGCTTTGCAGGCCTCTGAAGGACTTCACTAGACCTGTCATCCCATCTAGAAGGCCAGCTTTCTTCTCTCTCTGTTCTTTAACTTTCTACTTTTTGAGTCAGGAGAGAGGCGCTAGGTGAGACCCTGGTGGATTGATGTTCCCTCTCTACTCCACCCACCTTCACATTAAGCGTTCCATTTCTGCCCATGTAGAAATTTACCGGTTCTCTCTTTATAGTCTGGGCTGCACCACTTACTTTTCCCATTAGAGCCGGCCTGCATTGGAGTGCCGAAGTGGTTGCTTCTGAGGGCTGCTAGGTGGCCTCTGACCAGGAGGAGACTAGAAAAGGGTCCTGGCCTGGGCATCTGGAGGCAGCTGTGGCCCCGACTTCCCCATCAGTGGCTCACTAGGTGAGCCTAGGCTAATGGCTGGACCTTCTCTTGCTTTGGTTGTCTTGGCAGTGGAACAGTGGGATGAACCTGTTGTTCCTTACGGTGCACTTGAAAATGCCAGAATCCCATCCTCAACCTGCTTGAGGAGCCATCTCCTAGTTGCTGCTTTTGTACACCCCCGTGGCCCAGGTGCCAGATTCTTCTTGGCATCCAATGGTGCTCCCTTTCTGCTGGGTTCCGGGCACTGTCTGCAGTACAGGTTTAGGGGCTTGCCTGCCACTGTGATGTGTGAGGCCAGGAATCTGAGGTTCACACGTGCTGAGAGCTGCAGGCATTTGTGGGGCCTGCCTGGTTGTCCCTGAGGTTTCTAGGAGAAGCAGGTGTCAGGGACTCTGGGACTAGCCAGACAGATGGAGCCTATTATATGAGGGCTACCGTGGCAAATAGGATATGGCCTTGGCCCCAGAAGAGGCACAGGCCTGTGACCTTGGGAGAGTGGGAAGGATGATTTCAAACTTGCAAATGTGTTGAAGCTCAAAAATCAGACCTAACCCAGTGAGGAAAGAGACAATCTGGCTGTTTGTCGTCGAAGTAGGACAGTGTGCAACAGGGAGAAATGACATTTGTCAGAGCCTTTCTCCTGGGGCTCTTGGTCTCTGTATGCGTGGTTGGAATTTAAACTCCACATATGTACTCTGAGTTTAGTTTCTTTAGACATGAACTTTGTTTCTTCCAAGTAGGCAGGGACTATTTGTCAAGTCTCTGCATGCCTGTTTGTCTGTGAGGTTATCCTCACCCCGTCAGTGTACGAAACAGCTGTCTCTGCAGGGAGTGTGTGTCGGCATTTTTTTTTTTTAAGGAGAACCTCTCTCCATGAGTCTGTATTTAGCTCCCTGGAGCCGTCTGATGAGTAGGTGGGGGCAGTAGTGGGCAGGTGTGGTGCAGTGTGGCCCCTTGTCGTAGTTGGCTTTATCTCCCAAATTGCTAGTGGGACAAATTTTCCTAGGAAGCGTTTCAAGGTGGAAAGGCTGAAGTGGCTCCTGAGAGAGGTTCCAGGCTGCACACTCCCTCCCCCTCTTGCTGCTTCCTGTGGCTGCGCTGCATGGTGCGTGAGGGGGATGCTTGGGGGGCTCCCTGCATCGCTGGGCTCTGGGTGCGTGATGGGGACGCTGGGGGGCTCCCTGTGTCGCTGGGCTCCGGGTGCTGGGTCCTGGCTGCAGGCTATTGGGTTGGGCTGGGCTGTCTGCACACGAGTCTGCGTTGAAAAGCCTACTCATCTGGCGTTGCTTGCTAAACAATTTTTAAAAGGTTATTTTTCTCCACCTTATTAAGATATTCGTGTATTAATACATTATATTTGGAAAATGTAAGGAGATTTGGAAAATGATTAAAAAAGGATAAAGTAGTAAACAAAATTCACCCACAGCCCAGAGGGAAGAAAAGTAACGATTCTTAAATTTTCTTTTTATGATATATATGATCCTATGTACATATATGTTGGTGTGTGTATATATATATGTGTATGCGTATATATAATGTATGTATATATACATTTATTTATACACACTCCCCCTCTGTCCCTGCTTTGTGGATTTAGCTGCATGGATAGTAATGTCTATCTAAGGGGCTATAGTCTAGAATCTAGAATATATACTATTTGCTTTTTTTTCTTTCATATCATTGAATCTACAGAGTTTGGTAACCTGCATCTTTTTCCACTTAGTGTTAGTTACATTCTGAATATTTTCCCATGCTATTAAAAAACTTGTGGAATGTGTTTTTAATGGCTGTGCAATATCTTATTGTTCAGTTGTACCATTATTTATTTAACTAGTTCCCTATTGCCAGGCATTTAGACCTGCTTTATGGGGAAAGAATCAGGACTGTGGCTTCCGTGGCCAGTGTGCGGCAGTTGCCAAACAGGTCATGTGGTCCTGGTTCCCCAGGATTCCCAAAGGCTCAATTCTCTAACCAGCTGGTGCTTTCCAGGCAGCCAGTGCCCCTTGGGCCATCAGGACCCTACAGCCTGCGAGGAATAGTTTTAGAAAGCAGATTAATTTCCTATTGTGTGTGAGTGATTTTAAATGAGTTTTTCGTTTCCCCTTTCTTCCCTTCTGTGCTCTGGTTGCTCCCACAGGGCAGTAAACGGCTTTGACCCCGCTCCTCCTCCTCCTGGTCTGGGCTCCTCGCGTCCATCGTCAGCGCCGGGTATGCTGCCTCTCAGTGTGTGAGTGCCTAGCCTCCAGGTGGGGGCTCCTGCCCTCCTCCAACAACCCAGGACACCCACGCCTCACCCCTCGGTGCCTGGGCCCAGCCCCGTGCCCCTCCGTCTGCCTCCGCACGGCTGGCAGAGGGCAGGCTGCATGCAGTGGCGGCTACTGGGCCCTGCCCAGCCCCGGAACTCTGCGCGATATCAATACTGGCTATTTTCTCTTCTCGCCGTAGTGCCGTTGGTTTCACATGATTGCACTTTTGTGGGTCGCAAGGTGATACATACGTGTATTACTTGGTCACTGGATGCAGAAGTACCCATTCATCACACCTGCCCCATAGCCCCCACTCTGCTGTACTGATAGGATTTAGTTGTGTTTTAGGACATTGCAAATCTTCTAGAAGTTCTCCCCCAAATCAGGTCAATGTGTGCCCTCCTGAGCTCCCACCCAGGCATCTCCAGTGCTCATGATCATGTGTCCCCCAACTCCACCCCTCACAGTTTGGGCCTGTTTCTGGCAAAGAGTCAGGAAGGTTACTGAATTAGGGAACATTTTCTGCACCTTCTGATTTTACTTAAGCAGCTACCATTCCATGGACTTGCCTCCCAGAGCAGCACAATGCCCGTCTGAGCCCCACGTGGCAGGAGCCTCTGGGACGGGGCACACACAGGCCCAGCCTCTGTGCTGTCTCCTCCTCCGTGCGCCTCAGACTCGGGGTGAGGGAGGCGGGCAGCCTCTCGCCAGCCTTCCCGTCCTTCAGTTCAACGACATCTTTGGAGTGTTTTTGTTTTCTCTTCCAAGGGCCGTCCCGTTGTGTTAGGAAGGGTGAGTGGCTGGTTCCAGGGTGGGCCGGTGCCAGCTCCGGGGTGGACTGAACAGCGGCGGCTGTCCCTGTGCATCCTTTGATTACTCTCATGCTGCATTTACTGTTTACATTTGTTTTATTGTACATAGGTTTGTAAACATTATTGCCTGAGATATTTGTATATAACTTGGGCTTTGTAGCTTTTATTTATTCAGAACGCATACGGCATGTTAATGACTCTGATGGTGTCCTCCTCTGGGCAGCTGTATAGGATCATCATGTGGTTACAAAAAATACTTCCCTCAAAAAAATTCTTTTAATGTGGAAACAATAAATTTCACAGAAAAAAAGGATTGACGTTGCTTTATTCAGTCTCTGCCATCCCATGAGAGGAGAGCTGGGGCCCGTAAAGCCAGGTTCCAACGTCACTGCTGCTCTGACATGGGACACGCAGCTGTGGAATGGGACAGAGATCAGGTGGCCTCCGGAGATGTCTTATGTGCGGAGCAGGCGTCCTCATGCTGTTTCTTGGCACTGGCTTCTGGGCTTGGCTGTGATTTCCAGGAGCAGTTTGAGAATGGCCTGGGCCCCATGTGAAAATCTGAAAGGAAGGACCAGGATGTTGAGGGCGGAAGTTCACAAAGTCCCAGAGTAACTGGGATGGATCCGGGACCTGGTCCTGCAGCTGTGCTGCCATTCATGACAGATGTTGTCATTCTGGGATTAGAAGTCGCTTCGAACCGGCACTTCTCCTCATCCCTCAGGTTAATGCTAGCAAGTGAGAGAAGGTGTCAGATACTTGATAGCAAGACACATTGAAGAACGCGTAAACTGGGGGTCTGTGTGAATGCATCAGATTCTGAGCACTGTTTGCTTAGAACAACAGAAACATTTTATAGTTTTAAAACTGTAAGTAACTGAAAACGATGTGAATCAAAACCCTAAGAGACTTCGGGAGGCCGAGGTGGGCGGATCACAAGGTCAGGAGTTCGAGACCAGCCTGACCAACATGGTGAAACCCTGTCTCTACTAAAAATACAAAAATTGGCCAGGCATGGTGGCGGGTGCCTGTAGTCCCAGCTACTTGGGAGGCTGAGGCAGGAGAATCGCTTGAACCTGGGAGGTGGAGGTTGCAGTGAACTGAGATCATGTCACTGCACTCCAGCCTGGGTGACAGAGCTAGACTCTGTCTCAAGAAAACCCACAAAAACCCTGAGTGAATAAGAACTATTAAGTAGGATCCATTGTCAAACATTTCTCTATTAATCTATAGACAGGAATATCTGCTGTTAGTTCCTGGAGATTTTGTCCTGAGCTGAGTCTCCAGGGACACTCGCGGTGGGTGTGTGCTGTGCTTGGCTGAGCTGCAGTGCTTGAGAGGACAATCCTAAGCCCCTTGTTGATGTGCAGCAACTTCATCTTCTTTCCCAGCCCTCATTGGAAGGATTGGATTAGATGAGAGGTTTCAGCATTTAGCCGACCTCTTTATGTAGGAACCCCAACTAAAACACAGCAAGCAGGGCTTTCACTCTGGTTAAAGCACAGTTGATGTTTGGAGCCCTGAATCTTCATCCCTGGCTCCCCAAATGATTTCTCACTTCCTTTGCATCTGAACACCCTGGGCTCCTCTTATCCAGACTGTTCTGCCAATTGCTGGTCACTCAGTTGATAGCTGGAGGAAGGGCCCTGGCTACAGGGGCCCACGTGTCATCCACTGCATGTCACCACTGCTGTGGGTCCAGAAGAGCCTGGGCTAGGTCCCTGGAGGGGTAGCAGCGTGCTGTTGGGCTTATTTCTGATCCCTTTGGGAAGAGACTTTCACTTTAAAATTAAAAAAATTTTTGTCCTAGCCAGTCTAATTTAGCAGTGGGGGGTTATATACCAACTTTAGTGACTTTTTTTTTTTTTTTTGAGATGGAGTCTCGCTCTGTCGCCCAGGCTGGAGTGCAGTGGCGTGATCTTGGCTCACTGTAACCTCCACCTCCCGGGTTCCAGCGATTCTCCTGACTCAGCCTCCTAAGCAGCTGGCGCCCGCCGCCATGCCTGGCTAATTTTTTTTTTTTTTTTTTGTATTTTTAGTAGAGGCAGGGTTTCACCATGTTGTTCAGGCTGGTCTTGAACTCTTGACCTCAGGTAATCCACCCGCCTCGGCCTCCCAAAGTTCTGGGATTACAGGTGTGGGCCACCGTGGCTGGCCTTAGTGACGTTTTTTTTGTGGCTCTAGCAGCTCTTGGCAAATGATCCCCCGTGAAGAAAGCAGCCAACTCCCTGGCTCATCTCCCGCTTTCTGTTTGGACTGTGGGGTGTAAGATGCTACTTTGGACATGGTCAGAGAGAGCATCTGCCACCTGGCATGAATGCCGCTACGTACCGTTTGCCTGTCTAGCTGAAGAGTGCCTCTGGGTAGAGTGCCTCTGTGTGGGTTTTCTTCCTGGAGCTGCCGGGTACCTGGTTTTGCATGGCTCTCCATGAAACCTCGGGAATGAGCCTTCCTTGAGCCGCATCTGTGTGCCGTTCCTCCCTGCTGGTGGGGCTGATCTCCCGGGTGGTGGACAGCTTCTTGCCTCCAGGTGTTTTCATTTCAGCCGCTCAGTCCTATCCCTTGCTCCCAAATATTGTCTTACAAGAGAGTAGTAGCCAGCGCTCCACTTCCTTCAGCCCAGAGTGGCCAGAAATGATCCCTGACCAACGCAGCTGAGACCCAGGAGCCAAAGCTGGGACCTTGAGTCACAGTGAGGCCTGCAAGAACTATACAGAGGTGACCTGAGGACAGGACACAGTGCTCTGACCTCAGGTGGCAGAAAGGACAATGGGCCCGGGTTTGAGTTGACTGAGCTTGCACGGCTAATTCATGGTGAAGCCAGGCTTGGGCACGAGCCCAGTCTTTTTCTGCTGTGCCTTTCCAGACTTGAGGCCTCACTGGCCTTGACTCCCACGCTCTGTCCTGTGCCTTGGGAGAGGAGCAGGTTTTGAAGGCTTGGAAATGACGAGCGGCGGGGCCGGCACAGCCTTTGTAGCAGGAGGAATCGGTTCACGTAGCCTTCCTCCTGTGCCCGCTGCGCATGCTGACTCCGCCTTTCTTGGCAGCTGCCCCGGAGATGCCACTAGTGCGCATCTCCTGAGAGCCAAGGTGGAAGCTGGCACTTCTGGGAGAGGGGAGGCATCCTGGGTGGAGCCACGGCTTTAGGGAGCACCCGGTAGCCAGCTCTGCCCCCTCCCCGACTGTAACAGTGTTGTGCCTTGTCTCGTGTGTTGGTGATACAGCATTCCTGAAAAGCAGATTCCAGTGAGGCTCCACAATTTCCTTCTAAGCTGCTGATGCTCATTCTGCAAGTTTTTTGTTGTTGTTGTTTTTTTGAGACAGATTTTCGCTCTTGTTGCCCAGGCTGGAGTGCAATGGCGTGATCTTGGCTCACTGCAAGCTCTGCCTCCGAGGTTCAAGCGATTCTCCTGCCTCAGCCTCCCAAGTAGCTGGGATTACAGGCATGTGCCGCCATGCCCGGCTAATTTTGTATTTCCCATTCTGTAAATTTTGATGCTGTGCTTTATCGATCTTTCCAGGAGTCGGGCAATGACACCATCACAGCTGCGCCTACTGACAGTGATTGTGAGATACAGGAGATGTGGCCCACGTGAAGCTGGGGGTGCCTTGGCACCTGTGCAGTATGGCACATACTTGGGAGAGGCAGCGCTCTGCATGGGGATCTGTGAGACCCAGTTTGTCGGTTATGTCACGTTACCTCTCGAATAAGGCTTTGTGACATCCAGTCAGCCGGAATGGAGCCTGTTACTGGGCTGCTTAGTCTCAGTAGGGGTTGAAGTCCGGGGCCACACTTTCTGCCCAGCTTACAGGCTCTGTAGCTATAGTGAATGCCTTTGAAAAGCAGTAGCATGATGGACTTACACCCTTTCAATAGCTTCATATAAGATTCCCAACAAGAATGAGGTACTTCACAATCTGCTTGATTCCCAAATGGCAGGTGCCTACAGAAGGAAGTGGACTTCTCTGTCTGGTCCTGACAGCTGACTTAGGACGGCATTTTGGCAAAAACTCAACATCTGGGAAAGCTCTTGGTGCAGATGTTGTCCCCGAAAGGTGGAAAGGGAGAGGTCCTTTCTTGCATTCCTCCCAGAGACTGGGAAGCCTGTGTGGGTGGGGCCTCGCAAGGGGAGACCTGCCTGGAACTCAAGGGAGAGGAGTCCTCACCACTTCCTAACGATTCCAACCTGGAGCCTGTTCTGGCTTTTTTCTTTTTTTGGGAGTGAAGGAAGAGCAGGAAGGTGTGGTTTGACAACAGTGAGCTCTCTTCTCCAGTCTTGATGTGGACATGTCTGTCCCTCAGCAGCACCGGCCTCTGGGGAGAAGGGCCCTGGGTCGGTCATACCCAGAGCCATAGAAAGGGCTGGCTAGAACAGCTTGGCCTTACGGCTCACAGTTCATCTTAGCTGAGGTTTCCTGGGACAGGAAAAATTGGTGACACAAAGATGTGACAAATCTATAGCCTGATGCCATCAGGAATTGGAAGTGTCCCCTCAAGCCAGCAGGCTAGAAATAGGTGTTAGCTGGGCATGGTGGCTCACACCTGTAATCCCAGCACTTTGGGAGGGAGGCCAAGGCGGGACGAATCACGTGAGGCCGGGAGTTCAAAACCAACCTGTCCAACATGGTGAAACCCCGTTTCTACAAAAAAAGAAAATACAAAAATTAGCCAGGCCTGGTGGCGGGCGCCTGTAATCCCAGCTACTCGGGGGGCTGAAGCAGAGAATGGCTTGAACCCGGAGGTGGAGGGTGAAGTGAGCTGAGAGCATGCCACTGCGCTCCAGCCTGGGAGACAGAGCGCGACTCTGTCTCGGGAAAAAAAACAAGTTGTTATCCTTCCAAAGCAGTTTAAAAATAGTCCACTGGAATGGCTGCATTAAAGAAAATAAATAAAAACAACAACAAAAACTGGCATCTATGATGTGGCAAGGGCAGAGCGCTTATGGCCCTAAACGAAGCCCCGGCACTGCCTCATGTCGTCTAGACCCAGGCTCAACGAAAGAGCAAGCCTTTCCCAAGTCTTGCCTGAGTTCCTCCTCACCGGGAACCACACTGCTGCTGGGTAGAAGCTGACCAGCTTGATCTTCTGATACACTCAAAGCCCAGCTGCCATAAACTGTCTTCCTTGTGCTCTGAATGCCCAACGAAGGTTGTATAAACTACCTTTCCTTAGGTCTGGAGTGTCGGGTCAGTCAAGAAGGGACCCTTTTAGTTATTAAATAGTATCTTTGCAGAATCAGGGCCTGGAATTGGTTCACACAGATTGTTTCTCCTGGCACGCTGAGTAGTTGGGAAACTGTGACGTGAACACCAGTTAGATCAGCCAGTAGGGAAGAATTCTTTTTTTTTTTGAGACGGAGTCGCCCTTCTCTGTCACCCAGGCTGGAGTGCAGTGGTGTGATCTCGGCTCACTGCAGCCTCCACCTCCCAGGTTCAAGTGATTTTCATGCCTCAGCCCCCCAAGTAGCTGGGACTACAGGTGTGCACCACCACACCTGGCTAATTTTTGTATTTTTAGTAGAGACGGTGTTTCACCATGTTGGCCAGGCTGGATTCGAACTTCTGACCTCAAATGATCCACCTGCTTTGGCCTCCCAAAGTGCCGGGATTACAGGCGTGAGCACCATGCCCAGCCCAGAGTTCTTACTTTTTGAGAAAAACAAGCCTCTGAATTCTGTACACTCTTGGATAAGATACTGGATGTGGGGGTGGGAGCCCTGCTGAAGCACCATACCTGTGACTCACCTTTCCTCTCCTATGGTAGTGGCACAGGAGGAAGAGGGCACTTCGGCCCATTTCACACGTTTCTACTGCTGCCAAGAAGCCTAGTCATAGACCCCTTACCCCCAGAACCAGTCTAACCGGAGAATATTATGGAACAAGAAATCGGCATTCTCTGTTTGATTCTGTGCTGCCCTAGTATTTCTCTCATCCTAGTTGGCCCGCACTAGAGAGGCTGCCCTTGGCCTCATCACTGAATCCTCCAAAAGCATCTTCAATGCGTGTCTGCCTGAAAATGCAGCCTGAAATGTCCTGGACCCCTGAAAATGTCCTAACCCAGCAGTGAGCTTCATTGGCTGGTGACCAGAGCCCTCCTAAATCACTCCCTTGACAGGTGGGCCAGCTCCTGCCTTTGGGTGGTCTTTCCCTTCCTAGTGCGTGTGCATCCTGTGAGGCACTGGCAGGAACAAGAGTTGGAGCCAGGACTGGCCTGAGAATTATTCTGTCGTCTGACCTGGGAGACAGCGCCCTCAGCAAAAAGGGCCTGGCGCCATCATTTGAAGTTGGTGTGTAGCACCCACCCTCCAGTCAGATCACAGATGGGAAATCGAGAACAGAAGGTGAGAAAACAGATTCCACGTTCACATGATTATTCTTGTTTATTGAGGTCTCTTTATTCTCCACGGGTGCTTTTTTCTTCAAGTAAACAGAGCAGGCGCAAATATCTATAATGAATAAATTTATTGTCTTACAAAAATCATTGTCTAGAAATATGGGAATACAAGAAAAGATATTTGCGGTCAGGTGTCTGGTGGTCAACAGCCAGTACAGTTCATAAAGGGGGAAAATCCAAGATTCCAAACCCACAGGACAAATTCTTCCTAATAGATGTTAAAGCTTTTAACCCAAAAGGTTTGTGTTTTCAAGCACATTGCAGAGGATCAAGGATTTAGAATTAACACTGATTCATTGTCACTGAATGTCTGTAATACCACTTTGACTAGAGAGGTACATGATATGAAGCACAGTCAAAACTGAATACATTAAATTGTTATAGAGGCGAATGATATATTCAACATTGTCTTAGTACTGTAGTGTCTAAGGCACTTTCCGTAATGTCAGTTTGCTTAACTACCAACCAAAAACAGGATGCTAAGTGTTCACTGTAACACTGTCCAAAGGGAAGGGAGAAGGAAAAATGAAGGAGTCACACCCACTGGCATGTCAACATTCAGGAAGATGGCATCTGTTCTGGAGGCTCCATAAACCTCATTGACAAACTTGGAACAAGCCTCGGACACAAAACCAATATTCCCATTTTGGGCTCAAAGCAGCGGCTGAATTTGCAAGGTCAGCATGAGGGCCCGGCTGGCGATGGGGAGGGGCCTTCCACCAGCTCGGCTTAGGGGTCCACGGCTGCTTGCTCCTGACGTGAGGAGGGCGCCGGCAGAGCCAGGCGGTTCGGGAGACCATCTGGAAGTCTACATGATCCATGGCTGCCACCTGGGGCCTCAGCTGCAGTGTGGCCACTATCCCTTCTATGCACAGACCAGCCCTCGCCAAGGCCAGTTCACATGAGTAGATGCGGGACACCATCGACTCGAGGGGCAGGGCCCCCCTTGGGGGATGGACATGGTAACCCCAAATGGGTGTTGCTTCCGATCCAGCCCACCCCTCCTACTCTTTCCAAAGCCCCTTTCACAGTTTGCTCACTGAAATAGCATTGATCATTATTTGAAGGAAATGAGAGAGACAAGTGCAGTTTAGAGTCCACAGTGGTCTAGGAGACTTGATGTGGCTGAGGAGTCGGGGGCCACGTGAACACAGAACTAGGTTACCTGTCTGTATGACAGAGAGCATGCAGAGCGACTGAGTGACGACCACGGCGCTGCCCCAATAACCCAGCGACCCGCAACCAAGGGCCTGGAGTTTGTTTTAAAAAGGGTCTTACCATGTTTTATAAAATGGTCTCTTGATGACTATATGGAAAATAGATGCAATGATGAAACAATCTGTTTAATATATGTGTCCTGTGTGTGTCTATATATAAAAAGGGGAGCAATTGTACCTAAGTCTGAAGCAGGATACAGTATGCATAGGCTGGAGAGCCTTAAGACACAGTTGATCTTTCAGGAAGGAATCCCGTAGCTTGCCAATTTCCGAAATCTGCAGGAGGCCCCGGGTGCATTCCTAACTGTCCCACTGTATTGCCTCCTCTGGCTTCCTGCAACTTTACTCTGACTGGGGTGGCTGCGTCTCGTTGACATCACTGGTCTTACTTTCTGTGTCATCGTCGGAGAGCTCCAGGGAAGCTCCTTCAAGGTGCAGCTGGCGCCGGCCAGATCGGCTGGAAGAGAAGCTGATGGGGCCACCCCGCCTGGAGAACACAGGAAGCAGATGTGTGTGGGTAAACAGACAGGAGCACATGGCTGTCAATATGTTCAACCACTCAATGCCACGGAACCTTCCCCTTGCACCCCCTCCTCGGACACACGACCTTGTGGGGGTGGCGGTACGATGGGGAAGGACTGCGTGCTTTTCTGCCTCTCCCACAACCCTGCCTGCAGAGTACGCGAAGCAGGGTCCTTGGAGAACTGGGGAGGACTTGATTCAGCCTAGGACTGTGTGATGGAAATGGTAAGGAAGACGGATTAAGGCCAAGCTCTACCTGCTAACCAGGGAATCAGCCAGATAGCAAAGTGGGCCACATAGGGACTCTGTTGCATATTCTTTGTTTCGGCGTTTTTATAACCATTTAAAAATGTAGAAACCATGCTTAGTTTGATGGCTGTATAAAAGCAGGGTATGCACCAAATCTGCCCATTGGCCAGATGTGCTGAAACCTCCGCCGACCTGGTCTTCTGGGGCAGAGACTTCAGCTGTAGCTCTCTCACGCTCTGCCCTCTCACTGGTACAGAGCAGATCCATTGTGGTGAGGAGGACGGTGCTGAGGAGGGCTGATGGCACCAGGTCCCAGGAGGAGCTCCTGCCCTGCTTTTTAAGAGAGGCTGGGAGCTCACTTCACTAATGGATATCTGGACAGGGATGGATGCCTGACCCAGCTCCAGCCTGGTGTGGTGGATTAGTGTGGTCCTCTAGTGACTGGCAATGAATAGGGCCGCCTCCTCTTTTATTCTCCCCAAGGACGACTATAAAGGTCAGAAATCTTAAATGAAGTGGTTCGGGAGAAAGAATGGGTCACTGGGTATGGATCTAAGTAAACTTCCTCTGACCAGCTGCACCCCGAGCCTAAGCTAACCCACAAAGCAGCTGCCTGTCAGCTCGGGGCCGCATGCCTGCTCACCTCAGCCGGTTCTTCAGGGTGCTGACCTCGCGGCTCAGGCCCTCGTTGGCCTCGGTGGCATCATCCAGTTCCCGCTGGAGTTTACGCCGAGATGCGTTGGCACGCGTCGCTTCTTCTTCTGCTTCCTCCAGCTGGCGTTTAAGCTGCTTCATCCGAGCGTTGGCCTTCTCCATCTTGGGGAGGGTACATGAACCAAAACAAACCAAACTGGTGAATCCAGTGTCGGCCTCTCTGTACCCCGAGCGTGGCAGTGTGGGGCTCTGCCTGTTACCCTTGTGAGCACGCGTGTACACGGATGTACACGCGTGCCTGGGGGCTGGTCGGAGGCTCTGTAACCGGCCTGCCGCTCTCAGCAAAGCTAGCATCTACAAAGCACACTAGGCCAAAAGAAATGAAAAAGTACTCAAGACTCTGTTTTTACCAGTGAGTTTTCTGCAGAAAAATGACAGCGTTTACTGTCTTCACACACGTGACCTAGGGGACTGAAAGGGAATTGCTATTCTTGCAAAACGTGGAAGAACCAGCAATGTGGGACAATCCCCAGCCCAGAAGATGGTACAATGCATCTTTACACCTCCTTTCAAGGATGGGCATCTCAGATACTAGACTTGGATTCAAGCAGAAAGCCACCCTGGGATGACATGCCACAGAACTAAGAGCCTCCCTTTTGGACCCTTCATTCCTGAGCCACACAGGCACTGGTCAGTGCTTCGTGGGTCCAGCGCACACCACCCTCAACTGTGCTCCGTGTTGCTAGGCCCCAAGGGTGGGGGTGGGAAGGGAAGGCCAGGTTGCCTGACTGAATGAATGAAGTTGGGGAGGGTTCGGGCCAAAGGCAGTGAAATCCTCAGATCCATCCACCTTTCTGGCCAGTGTCTGCAGTGTGAAGTCTCACCAGGCAGAGGGCAGGGAGCGGGAGGGAGGGTATAGCTGCCCACGCTGCAATCAGGGCAGGCCTGACCCACAGTTCAAAGTCCTGCGGAACATTCCCTGTGTACTTAGAAAAGGGGGCCTGGATGCAGACGCTGAAGCTCACTCGGGTGCAGCGTGCAGTACCTTTGTCTTCCCTTCACTTTCTATTCAGTATCTCCTGTGCCCACCCTACACCCAGCCAGTATCTCATGACTGCCAGCAATATCCAGAAACTATACTAGGCATTAGGGAGATAACAGGGAGCAAAACAGGCAGAAATCCCTGTACTCACGAAGCACACATTCTAGTGGAGGAAGCAGGAGCTTTACAGTTCAGTCCAGGCCTCACTGAACTTGCTTCCTGACCTGCTCTCCCCGCCCTCCTGTGTCTCGGGTACTGGGAGTGCCCACCAGGAACATGGAACAGCCCACGTTAGCTGAAACATCAGAATCGGGAGGGCCCTGAATTCCACTGGTCAGTTGTGCCACCAGCTCATTCTCCACCAGTTCCTTTGCTCACGCGCTTCCCAGGGAGGCACTTCCTCGCGTACCTGCTCTTTATACTGGTCCGCGTGTCGACGCTCATCCTCAACCTGCATGAAGATTTCTTTCAGCTTCTTCTCAGTGCGACGGACTAATTTGTTGGCGGCTGCTCGTTCCCTGTGAAAGTGGTCACAGTAGTTTTGAAATTCTTGAAATGGTATTTTGTGTGGGAAAAAATATTTTTTAAAGCCCCTTTTCTTTGGGAAGATGACACATGGTGGAGGCATTATGGACCTCTCTGTCCAGAATTCATGACTAATGTGCTGAAACCTTTCCTTCTGGTCAAAATCAGAATTGCCTTTAATGTATTCCTCAATAGTGACAGGTAGAATAAGTGCATTATTCCTGCACGTGTAGGTGTTAATTACTGTACACAGGTATTCATCATTGTACTCAGTTATCTTACTTTGTTTGTTTTTGAGATGCAGTCTTGCTCTGTCGCCCAGGCTGGGGTGCAGTGGCGCCATCTCTGCTCGCTGCAACCTCCGCCTCCTGGGTTCAAGCAATTCTCCTGCCTCAGCCTCCTGAGTAGCTGGGATTACAAGGCATGCACCACCACGCTGGGCTAATTTGTGTATTTTTAGCAGAGACGGGGTTTTACTACGTTGGCCAGGCTGGTCTCGAACTCCTCACCTCAGGTGATCTGCCCGCCCTGGCCTCCCAAAGTGCTGGGATTACAGCCGTGAGCCAGCGCACCCGGCCTGTACACAGTGATCTAAAGAGCAAATGTTACATACAATCTACCTGTCAGTTATACTGAACATAGACTTTTGAAGACACCATCCTTAGTTTAATCACCTAAACTTTTAGCCTGAGAAACAACCCAATTTATTAAGTGATTGTTTCACTTGATAATTTACTAATTACCTATTGTGATGTAGAGGGCTTTGGCAGCTCACATTGAAAAAAAACCCAAAAACAAACCCCCTACACTCCCTCTTTGGTTAGAGGTGAAACAAATCCATGTTTCCAGATGCATCTACGTCGTCCCATATGAAGGAGAGGTAACTTATTTGGAGGACTCCATGGAAGACAGAAAAAGTTATTTTGTTGCTTAACAAATATTATGCAAAAGTAGATAGAGACAGTCAGCTGAAAGGGTGTTTATGTTAATTCCAACTAGAAACAAACCCTTAATTGTTTGCTTCAGCCCACTGGAGTCCAAAGAATGGAGTGGGAAGTCCTGGCACGAGAGGCTGGGGAGGATGCAGGGTTCTGGCCGCGAGCCCTGCATTTCTGGGCTCCAAGCTCCCCAGCAAGAGGGTGAATCTGAAGGTCTGCCCTGGCTCTGGGCGCTATGACCTAATAGCTTTGTAATATGCCTGCCAGCAGCTGTACTGTACAATTTCTCATCAATTTCAGAATGCTTTAATACAACAATATGAAAGCTGTTAAGCAATCCCTTCTATGGGGAGAAGAAAGGCTCTGATTTGTGTCATACTGCATTTGTTCTCTGGCAGCAAATTAGCATTTCATGGGCTGCCACACGCTTGGGAAATCGACTTTGGGTAGGAGATGCAAACTCAGGGTGCCTAGGAAATCACGGGGCGCCGTCCTAAAGCCCAGCCTTCCCTGACTGTTCACGGATGCCGTCTGTCCTCCCAGGCTCTGAATGCTCACAGCTCTTCTCTCACAGCTCACACCAACTTCTGTGTCCCACTCTGGTTATATGTGTTCTCTGCCCACGTGGTGGGGAGCCCCCCCGAAAGGGGCATGCCTGTTTTGTCTCTGACTGAGCCTAGTTGGTAAGTTTTGGTTTACGGTAGCAAAAACCTCTTACTTGGCTTCCTGCTCAAGCTGCTCCTCCAGCTGCCCAATCTTGGCCTCCAGGGCTGAGATGGTGGCCTTGAACTTAGACTTGACAGCACCCTCGAGTTCCTGCAGCTTGGCCTTCAGCTCCTTGTTCTGCCGCTCCAGTTGCTGGCGTGCATTGTCACTCTTCTGGGCGGCGCTGCGCTCGGCTGCTAGCTCGGCGTTCAGTGTGTCCACCTAGAGAGGAGAGAGGAGTTTAGTCACTTGTGCCTGAGGGGTGGCACAGCCCTCCCTGGGTGACGGGCTCCTGCATGGGCCACCTGTAGAGTGGTCTTGCGGAAGCGGTCGTTGAGCAGCTCCATGTTGCTCTGCTCCTCTTCCAGCTCCTCCTCCAGCTGTGCGATCCGAGCTTCCAGACGCCGCTTCTCATCCAGCAGCGCGGACCTGGCGGGGAGAGGAGGAGGGGACGGTTCAATCCCAGCTCAGCACAGCACAGGAGCCTCAGGGAAGGCTCCTCCACCCACCCTGTTGCTGGAAACCTGAGCAGCCATCCTGAATTTTCTCTTTCCCCTGCACTCATCCCCAAATCCATCAGTAGGTCCCACTGATGACACTTCCAAACACCCTCCCCCGCTGCCACCACCCAGATGCAGGCCTGTCATCTCTCACCTGGACTGCTGGGTGGCCTCCCGCTGCCCTGCCTGCCTCTCTCCAGCTGTTCTCCACAGACAACAGCCAGAGTCGCTTTCAAAACGCAAGCACGACCCCAGCCTCCCCACCGCTGAAACTCTTCAGTGGTTTCCAATGCACTGAGAATCAAATTCTAACTACTCATGATGGCATGCTCAAAAAGGCGCATGATGGACGTTCAGTTCAGTAATGACTTTTAACGAAAAAATGAATTCAGAGAAAGGTCCTATCTGAGGAACCTGCTTGCCAAAGCTAGCTGGAAAGTGAAGGCCTGCAGTGCCCGTTGGCGCACCCCACGGCTCCCCCCTGCGGTGTGCAGGGCTCAGCAGGACTGGCACGGGTGCAGTGCCCGTTAGTGCACACCACGGCTCCCACCTGCGGTGTGCAGGGCTCGGCAGGACTGGCACGGGGTACCATGGCTGAGGCAGCCCAGGCCCAGCGAGGGAGGAGCAAACCACCCGCTGATGCCAGGTGTGTGGACACCTCCAGCCTTCTCAGCAGTGCGCGTGCCTGAGGGCGAAGAACCCACCCCCGGCCGTGGGAGACTCACTTGCCAGAGGCGCTGTTGGTGATCTCGTCCGCCAGCTCATCTCTCTCCTGCTCGGCGTGTCGGCGGGCTCGCTCAGATGAGGCAAGTTCCTAAGCAGTGGAGACTGCGTTAAGCTCTGGCTGTGAATAGTTTCCTCACCTGTGGAATCTGACAGTGCCTGGAGCTACAGCGACCTTGCTCCTGTCACTGTTTACCTGCACCTCAAGCTGTCATTTAGATTTGAGAAATTAAACTGTCAAGAAAATCTGCTCGGTGCAGGCCAGCCAGGTGGTGTGTGGTGTCAGCATCTGACACAGATGTCCAGAGGAAAGTCTTCATTGCCATAAGGGCTTTGCTGTCACCTCCAACGTAAGAGGTGGCTATGTTCCTGCCCTTCTTGGAAAGCTGGTGCTTCTTAATATAAACTGAGCATGAACTTTATATAAACCCTGAACCCTAAGAAACATGAGCTATACCAACTGATGGCCCTGAAGTATCTTTCACATAAACAGTTTGAGATCAAGGACGCTGGCTGCACAGACCAGTGCGGATCCAGGCAGCTGTGCCGCAACAAGGATCAATGCTCCCATGGAGAGGAGGCAGGTGGGGGCCTCCGCAGGGGCTCAAGTGTTTGCAGAGCTGGGCCTCTAAGGTGGGCAAGGCCTCTTTCTTGAAGGGGACTGTGGCTCCACAGGGGGCTCTCAGAGGACTGGACAATGGGGACAGCCCTGTGCCTGCCAGCCCACGGGAGGAACTGCCTGATGGCTGCTTTTCCACAAACTTCTTTGGAAGGATGATTTGCCATGGAAAGGAGTCAAGGGTGCATTTATCTTATAAATGAGGAAACTGAGGCCCACCTGGATGAAGATACTGGCCCAAAGTCCCAAGGTTAGTCAGCAGCAAAAAGTCAGGGTTCCTACTCCCTGTCCAGGGCTCTTCCCACCAGCTGCCCCTTCCAAAAGATGCCACATTTGGCAAGAGCACACCTTGAAGGTGTCTTAGGAGCAGGGCTGCACGGGAGCTCCTCTGTCTGCTCCAGCACGTGCACCTGCCTTACATGAGTGTAGGCTGAAGGTCCTCTGACAGGCCTGGGTTCTAGCACATCCTGGCACACAGGGCAGGGTGGGAGTCAGGAAGGAAAGAGAGGCAGCTGACGGAATGTTCCAGGCCTGATCCCAGGGCCACTGACTCCAGACAGCTCTACCATCTGGCCTCTGGTGTTTTGTCTTCTTGGGCCTATGAAACACTCACTGTCCACTGGCTTGGGGGTGGGGCTCTAGGCAGACTGAGGGACCCACGGGAGAAAGGAAGGGACCCCGGGGCCTCTAAGCCAGATGAACGGAGGTGTTTGAGGGAAGGAAAAGTGTCAGAAATAGGGGGAAGGGCAGGGCCAGCTTTCCAGCTCAGTCTCTTCTCCCTAATGCAGTGTGAGTCAGGCCTTGCCTGAGAGTCTGAAAGAAACACTTTCAGAAAAAACAGTGTGGTACAGAGAATGCCTCTTGGACACTTGGGTAATGGCCCAGGAGCGCTCTCTAGGAGGCAGGCTCCAACAGCCACATCGCCTTTGGGGAAATGAGCATTTGGGGATCTCACCAATCAACTCCATGATGGATACATAGAGCTTACACATCTACTTCATTGATGAACATGCATCATTTTTAAGTACCCACGGAACACTTATAAAAACTAACGTGTTCTAGGTCCCAGAGCTCTTTCTCAGCATTCTCTGACCACAATGTGATAAAACTAGAAATCAACTTAAAAAACAAGCAAATGCCATACATTTGGAAATTTAAACCGCAAGCTTAAATTATTCACAGGATGAAGAAGAAACCATAATAGAAATTAGAAAAATTTAGAATTACATGACAATGAAATTACTCCACATCAAAATTTGTGGAACATGATGAAAACCGATCTTAGAGGGGAATTTACAGTCTTTTATAAACATATCAGACAAGAAGCTTGAGAGCTGATGAGCTAAGTGTCCAACTCAAGAAGTCAGAAAAAAAAGGAGCAAAAAATGGTGAGATAGAGGACAGCAGGACGAAAACCTCTTGAAGCTGGCTCTCAGGTTCTCTCTCAGGGTCGGCTCCGTGTTTACTGATCTGGTTTTGAGTTCCTTGTTCATTCCTGACACCTAGAGAGCCGTCCTCCTTTCTTGCAAGCTCAACTCTGCCTTTGCTAATATTTTATCCAATATTTATAGGTGTTTGTATTGGGAGTTTTTTCATATTAACTGATAATAACATTTAACTTACCTTTTCAGGTTTGAAGAAATGTTGATTATCCATCATTTATACGGTAATGTGTATATTTAAGTGTGCCTTGCACTGTTACAGTTCCTATATGCAACACTTTATCAGTCTCTGCTTCATGAGAACTTACAAGAAAGATAAATGAAGGAATAACAGGAATTCAATGAAACAAACTTCTCTCCTTTTAAGTTATCACATGAGTAGTGCTTCTGTGTAAAAACAAGGCAATTTTGCATCACCAAGGTTGGAGTTACACAGTTCTTGTGCTTATCAACACTTCCCTTTCCTGCACAGGGGAACAGGCCAAGAAGGTGGCCTGAAAAGCTACTCATCAGCTCCTTTGCCTTTTGCCAGGTAGAGGAATATATGTGAGCAGTGTCGAAGTGATAACTTTCTGTTTCCAAACTGAAGCAACAAGAAGGTTGAGGACCATATTAAAAATGGATACTTAAAAAAATAAAAAACAAAAATGTATACTGACATTACAGTGGGCTACAAATATATTAACTTTTTTTTGATCTTGGAGAAATTTCAAGGGCAAATATATTTGTTGAACAAATGGATAAGTAACAAACCAACCTCCTGCAATTGAAGGATTTCTGCTTCCAGACTCTTCAATTTCTTTTCACTCTCTTTGGATTGAGCAAAAATCTCATCTCTGGATGCACGAGCTTCTTCTAATTCACGTTGGTAATCCTTCATCTGAGCCTAAGATTAAATAAGAAGGTTTTGGGGTGGTTTACATTCTTAGTTTTAGTTAAAATAAAATTTTTTTAGAGATGAGCCCTGGCTGTGTTGCCCAGGCTGATCTCAAACTCAAGGCCTCAAGCATTGCTCCTGATTACAAGTGTGAGCTGCGGTGCCTGGCCCCATTCTTAGCTTGTAAACATGGTATTTTTTTTCTAGATTATAAAAGTAATATACATTCATTGTAAATATAAAAGTATATGGGAATGACAAGGATATCGTAAGAAAACTACAGATCAAAATGAAATCCCTTATGAATACAAATGCAAAAATCTTCAACAGAATAGTAGCAAACTGAATCTGGCAACATGTAAAAAGGATTATACACCATGACCAAGCAGGATCTATCTGAGGAATGCAAGGTTGGTTTGACAACCAAAAATGAATTAATGTAACCATATGATCATCACAATAAATGCTGAAGAAGCACTTGACAAAATCTAATACCCTTTCAATATAAAAATGCTCAACAAGCTATGAACAGAAGGAAATTTCTTCAACTCTGATTAAGGGCATCAATGAAAAACTGACAGCCAATATCATACTTAAGGATCAATGACCAAATGCTTTCCCTCTAAAAGATGAGCAACAAGACAAGGATGTCTGATCTTGCCACTTCTACTTAACAATGCAATAGAGATTCTAGCCAGGGTAATTAATTAGGCAAGATAAAGAAATAAAAGATATCCAGATTGGAAAGGAAGAAGTAAAACTAGTTCAATTTGCAGATGATCTGATATTGTATATAGAAAATCTTAAGGAAGACACTGAAAGAATTAGAACTGCTGGTAATATGGACAGTAAAAGAAAAGAAAGCCCACAAGAACTAATTGATGAGTTTAGCAAGATTGCGGGATACAAGATCAACATACAAACATCAATTATATTTCTATACACCAACTATGAACATTCAAAATAAAGCAATTACATTTATAATACCATCAAAAGAATATAAACTTAGGTATAAAGAAAAAAAGTGAAAGACTTGTATACCAAGAACTACAAAACGTCACTGAAAAAAATAAAAAAGATCTAAATAAATGGAAAGATTATCCATGTTTGTAGACCAGAAGACTTAATATTGTTAAAATAGCAATACTCTCCAAATTGATTTACACATCAACACAATAAACTATCAAAACCCAAGCTGGCTTTTTTTTTTTTTTTTTTTGGTGGCAGAAATTAAGCTAAGGCAGGTGTGGAAATCATTTACTCAAAGAATTTATATCCAGAATACAGAATTGTTTCAACTCAATAATTAAAAGAGAGCTCAGCTGTTTAACCTCATTAGTCATTAGAGAAATAAAAATAAAAGCCACAATGAAATGTCACTTCACACCCACTAAGATGGTTACAATCAAAAGATGGACAATAACAAATGTTGACAAGATGTGGAGAAATTGGAACCCTCATACATAGCTGGTAGGAACGTAAAACTGCAGTGACTGTGGGAAACAGTTTGGCAGTTCCTCAAAGTTAAACACAGAGGTACCATATAACCCAGCTCAATTCCACTCCTAGGTATATTTCTGAGAAAACTGAAAGCACATGTCCACACAAATGCATATGAATGTTCATAGAGGCATTATTCAGAAGTCAAAAAAATGGAAGCAACCCAAATGTCCAACTGGGGGATAGACGAGTAAAATGTGGTAGATGTATCCACACAGTAGAGTGTTACTCAGTAATAAAAAGGAGTGCGGTACTTGTTCATGTGGCTACATGGATGAACTTTGAAAACATCATGCTAAGTGGAAAACCAGTCACAAAAGGCCACATATTGTATGATTCCACTGATATGAAATATGGAACAAAGGCAAATTTATAGAGACTGAAAGATTAGTAGTTGATTAACGCAGGATGCAGCAGGGATACAGGGAATGGGGAGTGACAGCTAATGGGTGGAGGATTCTTTTGGGAGGGACCAAAATGCCCCAAATATGATAGTGGTGATGGCTGAATAAGCCTATGAATAACTAAAAAACACTGAAAACACTAAACTGGCGAATTGTGTGGTATGTGAACTATATTTCAATAAAGCTGTTAAATAAAATCACAGTATTATAGTTTATATTCTTTGTAATTAATTAGCTTAATAACTTTTATAATTAGCTAATAAAAATCTTGAGCCCAGGCTGCAGTGAGCCATGACTGCACCACCATACTTCACCCTGGGTAGCAGACTGAGACTCTATCTCTGGGAAAAAAAACAAAAAAAAAATCTTTATATTTAGCTTCAAAAAAAAAAAAAAAAAAAAAAAAAAAAAAAAAAAAATGGAAACAAGTTCCTACCAACCTATTACCCAGAGATGACTTTCCCTCCAAACTTTTTTCTAGGTATAGTATGTCTGCCTACATGTCTGTATGTGAAAATGTATACACACACATGTGTAGAGTTACAAGTCAAACCGTCCTACACCATATTTTCCTTTATTCATTTAAGTCTGGCCATCATTCCCCACACACCCCATCACTTAGATGGTTAGCAGTCCATTGACATTTAGGGGGTTTCCATTTTTGCTATCATAAATAACAAAACTTCTGCTAAAGATCTTTGTACATAAAAATTTCTTCTTTATATTTTGTTAAATTTTCAAGATGTATCAACAAGGTCAAAGGAAAAGTTTTCATCATTAACGGACCAGTTCCCCTGAGAAGTTGCTCCCATCCATCCTATAGGTGAGGGCCCCCTGCCTGCCTGCTCACACCATGAACTCTTGCAGAGATCACTTCTTGTCATTGTGGTAATGAAAACTGGCACATCATCTGGGTAGAAAAAGTGACGATTAAAACAGACCAAAAAGATCACAAAAGCTACAGCACTAAGGGGCTGGGTCAACATGACCCTCCTCTCGAGGTGAGGAAGGGTGGGTTTTAAGCATCGCCACAGGCTCTCAGGGCCACAGGAGGCCAGCATGATGCCTCCACCCCAACTGTGTTGCTAAGTGCATTCAAGTATCTCCTGTGGACACAGCGGACACACAAGCACTCTCTTTATGGCCTGCTGCCCCACCCCCGGCCACGCTGACAGCGGTGCTGTGCCCCCCAGCTTCACTGCTGGACTCTGTGTAAAAGCCACATAGGTCACGTGGTGCCATCCAGAGACTCCATGGGTGAAGGCACATACCTGGAGCTTGCGGAGCTGCTTAATCACCTCATCCCGAGCTTTGTTCGCAGCCTCGATTTGGGCTTCGAGGTCCTTCAGGTCTATCTCCATCTTTTTCTTTGAAGCTACAGCAAGCGCCCGCTGTTTCCTCTCATCCTCCAGCTCCGCCTCGAGCTCCCGCACCTAATGGACAACATCGGGTTATGCTGGGTTACATCCAAGTATCTGCTCGCAGAACAGGCAGACTGTTCTCAAGTGGGGGGCTCTGGTTACTCGGGTGAGTGGAAACTTCTGTTACTCTGTAGAGGTCTCTGTTACCAAACAGTTACTATCAACAGAAAACCACAGTAGCTGAATTTTGTTCAAAGGGGTCTTTAAACACCACCACCTAGTACAAACCATCCCACTGACTGCTACGAGGGCATGCGAGAAGGCAGCCAGTGACCTGAGCTCGGTGTAGATGAAGCCAAGATGGAAAAACCCAAGACAATACGGTAACCATGTAATAAAGGCTGGGGTAGGCACAGAGCGGGCATGGGGTGGTTGCTAAGAGGTACAGAGGACTAAGCAGGCATTCCTGTTTCCTAGAGCTGTGAGGACATGGGGCATGGCCATGTTGCAGGGGTGTCAGAACCAGGCAGAAACTGCCTTTGATCAGCAGGAAAGGGGGGAGCAGTCAAAGCTGTCCAATGGAGGAGGGACAAAATGAAGGCCTGCTCTGGAGCAGGCAGATGGGAGAGTGAGGATGAGTAAGATGTGGGCTGGAAACCGAGGTGGACACACCTGTCAGCCACTCACTCACTCTGTGGCACTCTTCACTCAGCCTCCTAGTGTGCAGTGGGGATAGGGAACTGTGCTCACACTGTGTGAGGGATGCTCAGAAGAAGGTGCTCTGGAGTCCTTAAACCAAATCCTAACGCCTCTGTCACCAATGATGAGGACCAGACACAGAGCTGTTGAGCTCCAAACCTTATCAGCCCATGAGTCCACAGGGACTGTGTGTCATTGCCTTGACATGGTCTTCCCAACCTGTCCTGCTTCTTCCACTTATTCAGCCATAAATGAATGTTTCGTCATGTATTTATTAAGGTATAGGTCATAAATACCTTAATAAATACCTGCACCCTATGTAGTGCAGTAGCAGCTGGAGGCTCAGCGAGCAAAGAAAGGTCCCTGCCTTCACAACCTTCCGCTTCCTGCAAAGAGGATGATGGCTGGTGTGGGAGCTGGTATGGAGGCACCAAGGCTTGACGGAGTGGTGGCTCCACTGGTCCTCTCCAAAGGGGAGAAACAAGGCCACCGCTGCTGCTGCTCTGCAGGGGTTGGCATGGGAGAGGAGGAGCAGGGCAGCTGCTTCCGCATAGGGCAGAGGTGCTCGTCATCTGCTTGCTGTGTTCTGCAGAGACCTGGGGCTGTACCTCAAGGCACAGGATAGCAGAAGGCTCCTAATGTAGAGCCACTTACATGAATTTCAAAGTGTGGTTTAAAAAAATTTCTACAAATTCTTTAATACTCCCCACCTTAAAGAGTTGGAGCATAATCTCCTCTTGAATGTGGGCCAGACTTAGTGACTTGCTTCTAATAAACAGAATAAACAAGTGATCACATGAGACTTGGGAGATGAGGTCATAAAAGGCCCGGAAGCTTCCTCCTTGCTTGCTTTCTTTTGGATCTCTCACTCTCCTGAAGCTCCCTCCAGGACAGTCAGGAGGCCCATGTGGTGAGCTGCTGAGGCCTCCTGCTGACACCATGTGTGTGAGTCAGTTTGGCACGCTCCTCCAGCCCTGGTCAGGCCTTCGAATTATGCAGCCAGGGCCGAGGTCCTTACTGTACCAGAACCACTGACTCAACTGCTTCCCAATTCCTCACCCACAGAAACTGTGACAAAAATGTTGTCACAGTTTGCAATAATTTGTTAAGTTTGGGGTAATTTCTTATCCAGCAATAAATGATCAATAATTAGTGGAGTGAAAATAACAAAATAAAGCAAAATTCAGTAATTCCAAATCTGGCCGGGCATGGTGGCTCATGCCTGTAATCCCAGCACTTTGGGAGGCCAAGGCGGGCAGATCACCTGAGTCCAGGAGTTTGAGACCAGCCTGGCCAACACGATCAAATCCCGTCTCTACTAAAAATACAAAAATTAGCTGGGCATGGTGGTGTGTGTCTGTGGTCCCAGCTACTTGGGAGGCTGAGACAGGAGAATCACTTCAATCTGGGAGGCAGAGGTTGCAGTGAGCCAAGATCGTGCCACTGCACTCCAGCCTGGGTGACAGAGCGAGACTCCGTCTGAAAAAACACACACACACACACACACACACACACACACACACACCCCAAATCCAAAACTTACTGCCATGAACTGGAAGGGACTGGCAAAATACCCACAATTCATTTTTAAAGTAAAGTTTTAGACTAGAAATTTAACATATATGCAGAAAAGTGTCTAATATACATTCAGAAAAGTATACAACTTATACATGGATAGCAACTTTATAAAAGGACAAATTTAAATATCTGCTCTTTTTCCTTTTGAAGAGTGATCTAATTATTAGGACTTGGAATCTGAACCACAGACATCTGCCGAATCACCGTGTCTGGGATGCATCAATTCTTTCCTATACCCATGTTCTAAGACAAGGAACTTGAACCTAACCACGGATTCCTTTGGGAGTCCACTGAGGGCTTTCTGACTGATAAGTGTCTGGCTTGTAGGCAGGAATGATACTGAGAAATAGTAAGACCTAAACTAATTACAATAAAATTTAAATAATAAAATTCTCAAATGACCAAATAAATTCATTTTACTCTATGTGTTACTCTGTGTTTACTCAGATGTGTTCTAACACGAATGAACAGGATACTGACCCAGAGCTGGGCTTTGAGAGCCTGCACCCCTTGTTGTGGAGGCCGCACCCTCTGCCCTACCTGTTTGATCAGCAGCCGCTTCTTCTCTTCATTCTGCTCATCCCTGGTTTGCAGGTCTCTCTCGAACTGCGCCTTCATGGCCTGCATGTTGACCTCCAGACGAAGCTTGGCATCTTCCGTGGCCTGGAGTTCGTCTTCCAGCTCCTCCAGCTGGGTCCTCATTTCCTCCACCTGCTGCTCTAGGGCCCGTTTGGATTTTTCAAGTTCGTGAACCTAAACCACCGAAGCATCAGGAAAGAGTTGACCGGGGTGGAGGCACATATGAAGAACAGCAGTCTTACTGTTTTACAGGCCCACTCGTGGCATGCTGGCCACTTTGGTCCCCCTGGGCCGGCCCCCTGCCACATGCATACACATCCTTCCCTCTCCCCTGAAAGCTGCTGCTATTCTCCATTTCAGTGTATGCAGTTCAGAACTACAGTGCGGATGTCTTTATTCCCACGTGTTCTCTGGTCATCCTCCTCTGATGACCTTTAAGCTGAGAGCTCTTCAGTGAGCCAAAGAACAAAGGAAACAGCCATGTCAGGGAACCTGTCTGTTGACTGACTCCTTGCCTGCTGTCTGTGAGGAACAAGTACAACAGTACATCTCTTCTTGCTGTAGAGAAGATCATTCGTATTGAAAAGCACATGTGGAAACTGCTGATTATTAGGGTGGCTTGGGCCTAAGAAGCAGGGCACAGTACACAGGCCTTGATCTTTCTCTGGACAAAGATGCCCCCAGCACCATTTCCCTCATTCTCTGCGCCAAGCACTGTGCTGAGAGCTCCACCTCCTGTGCCCTTTGACCCTCACAGCAGCCTTTGGAGGGAGGCCTTGGTGCTGCTGTGCACCCCCTCTGGGGTCCAGGACCACTGCAGTTCTCACGGGGACAGGCGCGGGGAATCCTAGGACAGGAGGAAGGTCCATTTCTACAGTGTCTGGTGCTCAGTAGGCACAAAAGACCTGTTTGTGGGATCAACATGTGAGTGTTGATGCTACAGAAAACGAACATGAAATCAACTGTAGAGTTCTCTCTCCACATTTCACTGTGTAACCATGGCCACTTCTACTTTCAGTGGCCTCTTTTTGTCCATGGGGCTAGTCCCTGGGCGCCAAGTTGTAGGAGACCCAGCAGAAAGGTGGGACCACCTTCGCTGACTTATGATGTGGCCAGATGGCCCATAGCACATGAAAATGAGATCCTGCCTTTTTAGAGGACTTTGTGTGCTTTTCAAAGCAGATGCAGTAACTTCATGAAATTGGGCAAGTATAATGTCCATCTGGCAGATAAGGAAACTTAGGCTTCAAAAGCTTAAGTGGCTTCCCATGGTCAGAATGGAAGCCTGTGGAGGAGCCAGGGAACCTTGCCTTTGATACCAGGCCTGGGTTTGTTTTGCTATCTTCAACACGTCATACACTAAGGGAGAGACGTAGGGTAAATAAATATCATGGCAGCTCTTGTGGAAGATGTATGCAATGGAAAGAAAAACTGTGCCACAGAAGCTTCCAAGCTGTGGATAAGCCCCCAAAGCTACTGAAGCTCTCAAAGAAAACAGTGGGGCCTCCCTGGGAAGAACCAGGTCAGAGGGAGCTGCCATTCCCTCCTCCTCCTCTCCAGGTCCCCACTCACCTCATGTTTGATAACTACCTGTGACGGCAGAACCATGAAACCTTTTGTTGAAAGGCCCTCCTGCCAGGATGCAGGCTGGAGCAGGGAGGGCAGTGAAAGGACAAGAAGAAACATGTTCACCTCCAGCCAGTGCTGGGGGAAGACTGCAGAAAACCTCACAGCAGTCCCAGAAGACCTGAACCCCGTACGCATGCACAGGCCAAAACACTCCTAGATGGCTTTGCTGCTGGGCTGTGCATTCCCAGGTCCTTCAGGCTCCCCTGAGGAGTCGCCCGCTCCTGTGTGAAGGCCCAGGCCCCTGGGATACTCTCCCGTGCGGAAGTGTGGAGCCCACCAGGCGACTTACGTTTTTTCCCACATCATCTTTGGAGCTCATGAGGTCTTCCATGTCTGCTCGGAGCTGCTTGTTCTGCCTCTCAAACTCCTCCTTGGCCTCCAGGGCTTCCTCGAGGGCCCGGGCCAGTGACAGGGCTTTGGTTTCTTTCTCTCTGGCCTCGGCTTCGGCCCGGTCCCGCTCTTCGGCATAGCGAGCAGAGATGCTCTTCTCTTCTGCTAACAGCTGTGCAGAAGGGGATGGGGGAATACGAAAAACCGAAACAGTGACATCAACTTTTCTCTTCCACCATGTGGCTGATTTATCGCTAGAGTGCTGCCACTAGATTATGGTGTTCTTGTATTTCCTTTTTTTTTTTTTTTTTGCTTTCCCTTTTTCCAATTTTGATATAAACATGTATCACATTTAAATGCCTTTAAATAAGATTATTTTAAACCAAACGAACAAAAGCAAGAGCTCTGCCAGGAGGAAACGACACGTGGCCGACCCACCTGGTCAAACTTCTTCTGCTTCTTCTCCAAGTTGGAGGCGACCTGGCGCTGGTGGTCCAGGTCCACCGTGAGGTCGTCCAGCTCCTGCTGCAGGCGGTTCTTGGTCTTCTCCAGTTTGTCATACGCCAGTGCCTTCTCCTCCAGGCGCTGGCTCAGGGCCTCCGCGTCCTTCAGAAGCTTCTTCTTGGCTTCTTCCAGACTTTCAATTGTTCCCAGGTCGTCATCTACTTTCTTCTTGGTATCAGCCAACTAGGTTTTGTGTACGGACAAACAGAAAGCTCAGTATTAATGTACTCAATTGGGGCCAGGCATGGTGGCTCACGCCTGTAATCCCAGCACTTTGGGAGGCCGAGGCGGCAGGATCACTTGAGGTCAGGAGTTTGAGACCAGCCAGGCCAACATAGTGAAACCTCATCTCTACTAAAAATACAAAAATCGCCTGTCTGTAGTCTCGGCTACTGGGGAGGCTCAGGTGGGAGGATCACTTGAGCCCAGGAGGTGGAGGCTGCAGTGAGCTGAGATCACGCCACTGCACTCCAGCCTGGGCGACAAAGTGAGACTCTATCTCAAGGAAAAAAAAAAAAGAACTCAATTGGTTTTTGCCTTTGAAGAAAAAAAAAACCTTTTGTTTTTAATATTTTGAGAGAAGAAAAATCAATACTGTGATTTTAAAACAAATGAGTCTTAGACTGTCACTTAATTTCTTAGCTAATAGTCCATAAAATGATGACTGGATTGAAATCTTACATCGTTGACACAGTCCTAGGTCCTTATTTTAAGGGCTTCCAGCATTATAACCAGCATGTGGCTGGGTCAAGAAAAACCATTTAATGGGCTTAATTTAGTACGACCTAATTAACTGTCCCAAATGGAGCTGAGACAGCCCAGCACAGCAGGGCCAGGATCTGCTGAAGGCACACATCGAGGCCACCGCGGCCTCCTAAAGAGGACGCACACCTGGGACTGCAGGGCCAGCACTTGCTTCTCCAGGTTCTTCCTGGCCTCCTCCTCCTCCTCCTGCTGCTCCTGAAGACTGTTCTTCTCCTCTTCCAGCTGCCGGATCCGACTGCTCAGGTTTAGTTTCTGGCGTGTCTCCTCCTGAAGAAGCTCCTGTGTTTTTTTTTTAAAGGGCAACACTTCCATTACATTTATCACCAAAACAAATACACCTGTATTAAAGAATTCATGTCGTACAAAAGAGACAGCCTCAATGCATGAGAACGCCCAGTGACATTAACAAACACAGATGATTTAAAAACACACACGATAACTTTGTAAAAGCTCTTCACACCAACACTGCTTCAGACTCATCTCTGAAAAACGAATGGCGGCGCCATCCACCCAGGGGCCCAGGCTGGAGCCTCCAGGCATCCCCGAGGCCTCCCCTCCTGCGTCCCCCACCACACCCCGCCTCTCCTCAGTCACGCCTGGAATCCCTTCCTCTCCACCCCCTGCCCCGTCTTAGTTCAGGCCCTCAGCCCTTCGAACTAGGATCACCTCTCCCGTCTTAGGCATCCCTCAGTTATCGTCCTTTGTATTTCCTGCCAGATTGACTTCTAAAATGTAAGCACAAACATGTTTTTCCTGTTACTTTCAGACTGCAAAGTCTTCAGAGGCATTGGTTGTGTGGAGCAGAATTTCTGGGCCATGGCTTCGGCCTCCTCTAGTCTCACTCACCAGGCCGCACCTTGTCATGCATGGGGTGTGCTTTGGTAAAAATGAACTTGTCCCCAACTGCCTAATTATTCCACTTTTGGCCTGTCTGAGATTTTTTTTTTTAATCCCCAGCACCTAGCCTAAAGCCTGGCAAATAAACACTCATAAGTGTTTGTAAATTTAACAAAACTAAGCTGTAAAACTCCAAGAATAAAGTGCTACATTATTTTCAAGTAACCTGTAGCTGACTTAAAAACATCCCTAACGGATGATGCAATACAGGTCTTAACAGTCTGATAAGCCTCAACTCACCCTTTTACAAAATGGACTGTTTCTCACAGGTCAGCACGATGAAATTCCAACCATAAGGAAACAATCTTATTGGAAATGGCCAGCAAGACATTGTGTGCAGCAGGACCATAGCTTGGGTCAACCACAGCCCAGGCAGCGGCCGTGAATGGCAGCTGGAGCTGTCTCCGAGGCCACCCACGTGCCTGCCAGACACACGAACCCCAGGGGCTCTACATCAAGACACTGAGCTTCCAGGGAGAAATCCCGAGTAGCAAGGCTGGCTCCAAATAAAAGTATGACATAAAACTAGTAAGAGGTGACACAGAAGGCAATTCTGGGGCCAGCATATTTCACCAGCTTATATATTACAGAAATGTTAGTTATTATAAAGACCCCTTGCTCCCCAGGGAATACCTGTGTATCCTGTAGTTGAGACTCAAGACTAGCTGCATCCTTAGCAAATTTAATACCCTTCTTCTCTGCTTCTTCCAGAAGGGTGGAGACATTATCTAGCTCATTCTGTAAGGAGCAGAAGATTAAATTCAACTCAATAGTAAGCAAGCAGAAAGGGTCTAGAAACACAGCTTTTAAACAGAACACAGAGAAGAACTCGGCGGGAGTGTGAACCTGAAACTACCCATTCAGTTAAGGAAGACTCACCACCAAGAGTCTGTTGCCTTCAAACGGAGCTCAAATAAGTAGGTACTAGAACCTGCCTCCCTGGCCACCTTAATAGTCTCTACCCATGAAAAGGACAGGGGGCGGGGGGTCTCCTAACTGGTTTCCTACCTTCTTCTATTTTTATCATGAAGATACAAAAATTAAAGCAAAGCCTCTGAAAGAGTGACTGTATCCTCTGTGGGGAGGCTGAAGGCCAGCAGGTGCTTGATTTTGGTCCTTCACACGAATATGCGTTAACCATATGTTTTGGGAGGAAAGTATAATTCACATTCTTATAGAACTTGAAGCTTCTATAAAAGGGGTACAAGAAAGTTTTTTTTTTTTTTGAGATAGTCTCACCCTGTCGCCCTGGCTGGAGTGCAGTGGTGCAATCTGGGCTCACTGCAACCTTTGCCTCCTGGGTTCAAGCGATTCTCCTGCCTCAGCCTCCCGAGTGGCTGGGATTACAGGCGCTTGCTACCGCGCCCGTCTAATTTTTTGTATCTTTAGTAGAGACGGGGTTTCACCATGTTGGCCAGGCTGGTCTCGAACTCCTGACCTCCTGATCTGCCTGCCCCGGCCTCCCAAAGTGCTGGGATGACAGATGTGAGCCACCACACCCGGCTGGAAGTTCTTTTAGGTTTCAAAAAACTGGTATTATATGTTCATCATGAATATTTAAGCTATTTCTTATGGTCAGATTTAATTAATAATATTTTTTTCTTCGCAATTAATGATATTTCTAAAATATTTTCCAAACAAATCTTTGTGGTATAAGATGCTTTATAATTTTTGACGACAGTGGGTGCTGGGAAGACGCAGAGGGACGCAGAGGGGCAGCAGGGCGCCGTGCGTTCTCGCTAGTCCTCGTCACACCGGCCAAGGGAGAGTGGACGGTGGCACAGCCACAGCAGAGCACATGCTGTAACGCTTCCATGGTCACTCTGTTTAGCAACATCCTTCACAGAGCTCACACTTCATCAGTCTTGGGAACAGTGTGGTGGGGAAGGGCTCCAAAGTCAAGAGGGACTCCTGCCTTCAGCACCAGCTCTAGAAGTTGCCAGGTAAGTCACCAGAGCGGGCAAGAGCCTTAGCTTCTTTGAGCCTCAGGTTCCTCACCTACCAGAGGGGTTGACTGAGGTTTAAATGGGGAACAACGTACATGGGAGCCTAGCACATGCCTGGTGCAGCACAGGGGACAAGGAACTGTCACTCCCCTCCCTTCCCCGCCGTAGGCAGAGTTCATAATGCTGTTTCAGAGATTTTCTCTTTTAGGAATAGCTTTCCAGATTGTGTGTGAGAGCACGCACACAATATTTCAGTACCTACACGTTAACACAGCAGGCCGGGACCACCCTCCTTCGAAAGGCCTGCTTGCGATGTTGACCTTTGGCTGGTGTGTGGGAACTTGAATTTAGCAAGAGTTCCCACTATTTCCTGAACAATAAGGGTGGCTTTTCTCTAAACTGTCCATGTAAACAATATGGTCTATGTTGAACACCTACGTTTCTTCTGGGAGTCTGCAATTTGGGTTTATGCTAGGCAAGAGGTGCCTATGTAACCAGCCCCTAATAAAAACCCTGGGGGCCGAGTCTGTAATGGGCTTCTTGGAAGAAAACATTTCACGCATGCTGTCAGGACTCACTGCTGGAGGAATTAAGCACGTGCTGTGTGACTCCGCTGGGAGAGGACTCCTGGAAGCTTGTTCCTGGTTTCCTCAGCACCTCAGCCCTCGTGCCCTTTCCTTTTACTGATTTTGCTTTGTATCTTTTCACTGTAATAAATCTTTGCCATGAGCAGGCCTCTGTGCTGAGTCCTAGAGTCCTGGAGAATCATGTACTGTAGTGTGGTCTTGGGCCTCGGACACAAGACAGCTCTGTAATTCTTTTTCAATGTGGCAATATAGGATGTACATCTTTTCTTACCAATAAGGACTCATCGACTATATTGTTTTTGCTGGTTGCATAGAAGTCCGTATTAAACATTAAAGTTATTTCCAACCACAGTCAGCCCTTCCTATCCATAGGTTCCATCTGTGGATTCAACCAACCATGTATTAAAAATATTCAGAAAAGGGCCGGGCGCGGTGGCTCATGCCTGTAATCCCAGCACTTTGGGAGGCTGAGGCAGGCAGATCACGAGGTCAGGAGATCGAGACCATCCTGGCTAACACAGTGAAACCCCATCTCTACTAGAAATGCAAAAAATTAGCCAGGCATGGTGGCGGGTGCCTGTAGTCCCAGCTACCCAGGAGGCTGAGGCAGGAGAATTGTGTGAACCCGGGAGGCAGAGCTTGCAGTGAGCCGAGATTGCGCCACTGCACTCCAGCCTGGCCGACAGAGCGAGACTCTGTCTCAAAAAAAAAAAAAAAAAAAAAAAAAAAAATCAGAAAAAAACCCCTGCATGTGCACTGACCATGTACAGTTCATGACTTTTTTGGGTTATTTCCTAAAAACATGACTTTTTTGAGTCGTTATTTCCTAAAACATACAGTGTAACAACTTTTTACATAGCAGTTACATCGTCTTAGGTATTATAAGTAATCTAGAGATGATTTATAGTATATGGGAGGATGTGCATATATGCAAATACTATGCCTTTTTTTTTTTTTTTTTTTGAGACAGAGTCTTGTTCTGTAGTCCAGGCTGGAGTGCAGTGGCGTGATCTCGGCTCACTGCAATCTCCACCTCCCTGGATTCAAGCGATTCTCCTGCCTCAGCCTCCTGAGTAGCTGGGATTACAGGTGTGCACCACCACACCTGGCCAATTTTTTTGTATTTTTTAGAAGAGACAGGGTTTCGCCATGTTGGCCAGGCTGGTCTCAAACTCCTGACCTCAGGTGATCCGCCCACCTCAGCCTCCCATAGTGCTGGGATTATAGGTGTGAGCTACCACGCCCGGCCCCATACTATACCATTTTTATTAGGGACTCCAGCATCAGAAGATTTTGGTATCTGCAGGAGGTCCTGGATGTAATCCCCCAGTGGATACTGAGGGCTGACTGTATATACTTTTGTACACACTTCTGCAATGAACATTCTTGAAGTTGACTCTGTGTGTACATCCTTAGTTAATTCCCTAGGATAAATGACTAGACATGGATTTTTCGGGTCTAAGGATACTCACAGTTTTAAGGCTCGTGATCTAAGACTGCCAAACTGTCCTTTAGAAGAGGTTGCACTAGGCTGTGCACAGTAGCTCAGGCCTGTAATCCCAGCACTTTGGGAGGCTGAGGGGGGCGGATCACGAGGTCAGGAGATTGAGACCATCCTGGCTAACGTGGTGAAACCCCGTCTCTACTAAAAAATTCAAAAAATTAGCCGGACATGGTGGCGGGTGCCTGTAGTCCCAGCTACTCGGGAGACTGAGGCAGGAGAATAGTGTGAACCCGGGAGACAGAGGGTGCAGTGAGCAGAGATTGCGCCACTGCACTCCAGCCTGGGCAACAGAGCGAGACTCTGTCTCAAACAAAAACAAAAACAAAAAAAAAGGTTGCACTAATTTATACCAGCAGTGTAAAAAATAAAACTCTCGTAAATCTTTGCCAATGTGAAGTATAATTTTTTTGGCCCATTGTTCCTATTCTCTTATTTACTGGACTAATGGAGAAGCTGAAGTGCTTAAAACTGTTAAGCAACTATAAACACAATTCAGAGTGGAACTGATCAAGTCCAATCATGCTGTGTTCTTCTTAAAATAAATATTATTTAACTTCATCAAAGTAATAGACACTAGGGACACCTAAGACTCGATGTATTTACTGGATAGCAATTTTCAGGTGTCGCACAGCACATTGGCCATGGGTCTCTTATTGCACAGAGGGATACAATGGTAAATTAGGGACATGCTACAGTGGGACGTGTGTAGAGCGGAGGTTTCTGGCTTACCTGCAGCTTACTTGCTTTCTCCGCCAGCTCCACCCTGAGCCTGTCGCCTTCAGAGACCTTGGCATGGAGCTCCTGGACCTGCGCGTCGAGCTTCTTCCTCTTGTGCTCAGACTCAGCCTTGACCTGCTGCAGGACCTTCACCTCACACGCCAGCTCCTTGTTATCTGTCTCCAGGCCCTGCTTGTTCTTCTCTAGATTTGCTTTGAACTAGGAGACGGAAGGGAAAACATAATTCACTAGTTATTTTCTAAAACTCCATACAGAGGACTGCTTTTTGAGTCTGCAGAATTGTGCCTAACACACAGTGAGTCTGTAGTCAACATCTGTTGAATGAATGAATGAAAATGTTTGCTGTTCTCTGAGTGTGAGGATTTCTACGTAAGGAACACACGCGTACACACTGCTCCGAGGAGCAGATGCAGATATTTAGGGGCTCACTGTGCTAAGTAATTAGCCTTGTCCATGCCAGGTGTGTCCTGTCTGCAGAGTCATCACTCACACTGTCCTCTGTATAAAAAAGTGTTGTTAGTGTAAAGAATTGTTTTACACTTACTAACATGAGCAGGCACCCTTGGTGCAGGGGTGGCCACAACAGGATGTATCTCCAATGACATCCTGCCTCAGGGACAAGATTGGGTGTAGTAAGGTGGTCACATGGGAATCTGGGCCAGACTGTCTGGCTTCAAGCTGCCTTTCCACGAACCAGCTGTGTGACCCTGGCTTAATTACCTAACACCACTGGACCTCAGTTTCCTTGTCTTTTAAATGGGAATTATAGGAGACTGTGCCACAGGGTTGTAGCAAAGATTAAGGAAGGCAACTCGTGTAGGGTACTTAGCACAGTACTTGACACAAACATAAATGTTCCGTAAATGCTAATATTGTCATTGTCTAAATTAAAAGGTGGCATGTGGCTAGGCAAAGAACAGAAAGATGGAGAAACTGGAGCAAGAACCAAGTCACAAAGGCAAGGATGATTATGGGAAGTCATGGAGGCCAGTCTGCACAGGAGGGTGGCGTGAGTCACAGGGCACATGAAATTAAGTTTCAGGAGAACGGAAAGCCTGTGTCTGAGATACAGAAGCGGGAACAATGAATGAAAGCCAACACTGTGTTTGGTGGCTGAGGTGAGATCACAGGCAGGGAAGGACAAGAAGGGAGAGATGAATGTCAGGAACCCCTGAAGGGGAACATCGGCAGGACGTGTGACTTACTGGCAGCAGACAAGTTAGGGAAGAATGACTTTCAAACCATTCGGGGTTTTGAGTGAAGCCACTGGGAGAAGGGTTTAGTGAGAAGAGACACTGGGGAGGACTGTGTGGTTTGAGATGGTGGCTGGATCCATGCACTTGCATCTGGCTTTTCTTCCTAAGGAGACAGTGTGTTTTCTGAAAGCCGCTCCTGTCTTGGCAACTGGGTACCCAGCAGCCCACTCAGTGACGTACAGAGGCTGGAGCCTAATCAATACATGACTGAACAGAACGGGCAGATAGGATGGGAGTGGCTCTGACGACAGACTTTCTCCAGGCCACAGCACACGGCAGGGCCTCCCTTACCCGCTTGGCCTGTTCCAGCTGCTCTGAGAGCTCCTCCAGGGCTGTTGCGTGTCTTTGTCTCATGTCCTGGATTTGAGCTTCATGGTTCTTAGTTTCCTCCTCAAGAGCTTTCTTCAGCTCTGCCACTTCTTGTTCACGTTTTGTACTAGAGAAGGACATTTTTTAAGAGAGATCAGAATTAGCTGACTGATTAAAAACACATTTTCTTTTTGAAAAAGTACTGTTTTTGTTTTAAATATTACATAAATTCCCTTAATAAATACTTGATGTGCTATTTCCAGTAGGCTGGCAGGTCTATTACTGTGATATCAGAAATCCTCCTAGAGAGCTGAGTAGTGGTTCATGCCTATAACCCCGGCAATTTGGGAGGCTAAGGTGGATCGCTTGAGCCTGGGAGGTTGAGGCTACAATGAGCTATGATTGCGCCACTGCACGCCAGCCTGGGCGAGTGAGACCCTATCTTTAAAAAAAAACCAAAAAAACAAACAACCAGTGCAACTTCCATGCCATGTCTGGCTTATCAAGACACAGGGTGACATCCCTAGGGGTCTTCAAATTGTTCTGGGTAGTCTGGTTTCACCGGAGGTCAGGAATTGGTTAACACAAGATGCCAAACTGCCTGCCATAGCCCCAACAGACTTGAATAAAACTGGAAAAAGGGAGTCTCCCAGAGATTTTCAAAAGTGAAGGGGTGACAAAGGCCAAATGAATCAGGACGTTGCAGTGTAACAAAGCAAGACTCTTAGCGTCCATGTGAAGAAGCCGCAATTAACTAACATCCTCCCAAAATTCTACCAGGAAATGGCTTAAGGTTGGGGAGGAGGGCATTATCTTTTGGAGGGGCAGGAAAATTAAAAGGCAGCTCAAAGGGTTCAGAAAGGGTCTCTGATGTTTGATATGAGAACACAGCAGGTCTATGGCCAGAGAATTGGAATGTTCTGACATAAACTGTGGTTTTATCTAACCTGCACTTTACGGTATGAAGATCACATTAGCATTAAATATCTTTCCATGGCTTTCTAATATTTTTAAAATTGGCTGTAACAAATACAGGGTAACTTGAATAACCAGAGTTATTCACTGTCTAAAAGAGATCTTACTTCTCATGGCGAGTCCCTCTAAATTTGTTAATCTGAGCACCGTGTTTAAGCACGAGCTTGATGAAGACTGAAGCCAGTCAGGTAAACAGCACTCCTGCTAAGACCTATATTAGCACTGTTGAATTAGCTACAACCTCACACTAATCCTGAAGCACACTGCTAGCAAACTTGCTCTATACTTTATAACATGTCACAACTTAGAACAGTGATTTACACACTGATTCCCGTGTGGACACATCATCCCTCTCTTCACCTCTCTTTTCCTCTCTTCTCATGGAGTCACGAGATCTGCAGGGGCTGGCTGAGAGATCCCTGTGCCAAGAGAACAGGGCCTGGTGGCTGCCAGCTCCATGGTCGCATGTAGCCCAGCCAGAAGGAATCACTAAGGATTCTTTGTGGTCCAGCCTAGCTCAGCCCCAAGTTCCACTGGCTCAGCCAGAGGTCAAAGACGTGCTGGTCTGGTCCTGTCCTCTGCAAGGCTCCCATCGAGATTGTTTCAGCTCACTACAGGGAAATCTCTCCTACTAGCAGCACGTTGTCTTTTGGGAAAATAGTTGTGTGTGTGTGTGTGTGTGTGTGTTCCTCATCCCTACTTAAATCCAGTGGTCAAAGGAAACCTTCATCTTCTCTTCTCCAGGCTGAACAACCCCATTTCTTTCAGTTTTTCATCAAAAGTCCTTAAGAGAGTGAAAATGCCAGTGAGTCTGCAGAAGACTCACTGTTACTTTATACTAATCATGGGAAGAACCAGGGCCCAGGTGGGGTGGTTTGTGTTCTCTAAGGGTCCTTAGCAAGAATGGAGGACATGTCTGAGCTGCAGGCAAAACGGAATCAGTGAGTGCTACAGCTGAGCACAGGCATGGTTTTAATAAATATGCGCATTTAGTTTTTTGCAAGGGTTGGATGGAAAAATGATCAGAACCTTATTTTCTATTGCAGTCAAAAGCCCAGCTGGGAGTGGAGAGTTCAGCCAAGTCTAGTTCAGTGGTTTCTAGATTTTAAAAAAGCAGATATGTCAAAGAGAAGCCCAGGACTTAAACTACTAAAAGCAGTTACTCTGCTGAAGTGGGGTAAGGGCTGGGCGCGGTGGCTCACGCCTGTAATCCCAGCACTTTGGGAGGCCAAGGCGGGCGGATCACCTGAGGTCGGGAGTTTGCGACCAGCCTGACTAACATGGAGAAACCCCATCTCTACCAAAAAATACAAAATTAGCCGGGCGTGGTGGCACATGCCTGTAATCCCAGCTACTCGGGAGGCTGAGGCAGGAAAATCGTTTGAACCCGGGAGGCGGAGGTTGCAGTGAGCCGAGATCGCACCATCGTGCTCCGGCCTGGGCAACAAGAGCGAAACTCCGTCTCAAAAAAATATAAAATAAAAAATAAAATAAAATAAAAAAGTGGGGTAGGAAGCCTCGAACCATGCCTGGCTCAGATGGGGTTTTTCCTCTCTCTGGGTAAAAGCTGAAGACAAAAACCAACCAACCTCTGTCCGGCTGCCATAGCTGTACATATTCATGGCTAGGATCATGGCAAACATTCCAAGGCTCACCCCTCTGTTCTCCAGCACGGAGAGCCTCCCCACACCCACCATCTGACCTCAGTCTCACTGCTCTATCGAGCCGGCCTGCCCTGTGGACACCATGATGTCATTCTTTCCACGACCAAGTGCCCAGGTTTCCAGCTGCTGGGTGGACCCAGCTGATGACATCCTTGTCCTCTGGGGAAACGCACTGGTTTTCACCACAACCTGTTTCCCTCCTGGTTGCTCTGGGTCATTTTCTGCCTCTCTGGCCACACTTGCATTCATAAACAATTCCCTCTCTCCTTCTTGCTTTATTCCAGGCCTCAGCAACTCCCCAGGGTGATGGGCTATCCTTTCCATCATTCATACCCTGGAAGAGCCAGCAGGTGTGCCTGCAGCCAGCCAAGGCACGAGGGTTCCCTTCTGGCTAGGACTCCTGGGGTGGCCCTGAGGCACTTGGCAGTGTGAGTCTGGGAGGGAGCAGATGGCCTCTGCCAGGACAGCAAGCTGGCACACCCCCCATGCTGCTCTCCACAGTGATGACACCTATGAGTCCGTGGGAGCCGCAGGCCAGCACCTCCAGGCCTGCGTACCGGCTCACTGCTAAGGCTCTCCTGCGACTCGTGGGCTGCCACACTGCAGCTTTCTACCCAGGAGCCTTCTCTGGCCATGTTCACCTATGCTCGTCACTTTTTTCATGCCCGCCCTGGCTGCTGGCTCATGATGCTGCATATGCCTCTGCCCACTGCACACTCTGTCCCAGTGCGTGCACCAGCCTTCTTCTCACCCTTGTGAAGGCACCCTTCCCTTTTCAGCTGGTTACCTACACCGTTCACACCACCTAGCACTGCCAGCATGTGTGCCTGGCCTCCTGGGTATCTCCTCCTATTCCTGTGTTTACCCTTCTCCCTCTGGTCCTATCTATCTAAATCTCTTTTCACTGCCCCCTGCTCTGTGTAGTTGTCACTCTCTCCCCCTAGATATCCATCACTGACCACAGCTTTTCCGATCACATCCATCTCCCTCTGTGTCCCTCAGTCTGCTGGTTTACCCACCCACCCCTGCACAGGTATTTCTACCCATAGGCTGGTCTGTTTCTAACCATTACCATTTAATCACCGTTCCACCTGCCATCACAAGGAAAAGCACACCACCTCCCAAAGATAGCAAGCACACCAGGCATTTCTGCACGGGCTCGGTGGAGAGGTCGGCAGGCGCCCGGGCCCTGCTTCCTCTCCCACACTCACCGTAGTTCCTGCTGGGCTGCCGTGGTGTCCAGCGTGTCCTCCAGCTCTGTTTTCAGAGCTTCCAGTTCCTCACTCAAGTCCCTTTTCTGCTTTTCGGCCTTGTTCCGTGAAGCCTTCTCGGATTCAAAGTCTTCCTGAAGTTCAGCAATTTGGGCTTGTAGCTCTCGCACAACTTTAAGGGCATTGTTCTTATGGAGTGTTTCATCATCACCTCTGTTAAAACACCCAGGCGCAAGAGGCACTCAGAGATGGCACCCGGATGGCCTGTTTCTCAGGCGAGCCCCAGCCCCTGAGCACCTCTCCACGAGACCCCAGCCCCACATCCCTCCTCCTGGGGCCTGAGGCTGGTGCAGATGCTCAGCACCTGCTAGGGCAGGAGGAGGTTCTCAGGTAGAGGCCTTGCTGAAGGCCCCAAAGCTAATGGTGGCAGAGCCAGAACTAGATTCCAGCCCCAGCCCCCTTTCCAAACGACCATGCTTCTCCATTAAAAGGTAGGACACTCTTACTTTAGCCCTTAGAATATGAAAACATTTTCTCTGAAGTCAAAGGCTGTTATAGTTAAAAATCTGCTTCTAACTATGAAGGAGTGACCTCCTCATCACACCGGAACCCAGCCAAACCAGGGATGCTCAAAGAACACAGTAGAAGAAAGAGGCTCTCATCCTCATACCCTCCAGGTGCCTCTCTTCCATAGGGCATCTTTTTGTTTATGTCTGTGGTTTAAAATGTTGGAAGATTTTTCTGATTGGGAATAGTTGGGATGTTTGAGGTAAGGGAGATTTTTCTTGAAAGATTTTGATTGTAACACATTATAAACTCCAAGTATTACAACCATGTAGCCAAATAGTTATTCTTTATAAAGAAATGAAACATTAGACATATATTTATTACATCTGATTTGCATTCTAAACTGAATGGTTTAGAACTGATTATTGAATCATGCTCTCAGTGGAGAAATATAATTTTTGAAAAGTGATTTCCCTTCAAGTTCTAAAACATACTACAGGCTGGGTGAGGTGGCTCACGCCTGTAATCCCAGCACTTTGGGAGGCCAAGTCAGGTGGATCACTTGGGGTCAGGAGTTTGGGACCAGCCTGACCAACATGGTGGAACCCCATCTCTACTAAAAATACAAAAATTAGCCAGTGTGGTGGTGCACACGTGTAATCCCAGCTAGTCGGGAGGCTGAGGCACGAGAATTGCTTGAACCCAGGAAGTGGAGTTTGCAGTGAGCTGAGATTGCACCACTGCACTCCAGCCTGGGTGACAGAGTGAGACTCCATTCAAAAAAAAAAAATAAATAAAACATACTACAGTTAATCTGTAATGTACAGAGACCAAAACATTTGTTATAGTGAAATAATTTGTTCTGGTGTGAATTTCCAAGGGTTTCATAATATAATTTGTCATTTTAAAGTATAAATATTGAGATGGTTTATGAGACTTTCTTGCTGTCCTGACACAAATTCTGTACGCCTGGGCTTTTCACTTTCTCAGGTCACACCAAACAGCAAGCAAACCCCATCTCACTCTCCCAGGGTTTTTGAATGCTCCCGAACATAACAAAGTCTGCTGAAACTCAGCCCCATGGGCTCCCGTGCAGCGCAGCTGCTGGGCTGCAGACCTGGCCAGTGCGCCCTGCAGCTCCTCCTCCTTCTTGGCCAGCTGCAGCTTGAGCTCATCAATCTGCGCCTGCAGCTCTGCGATCTGGTCCTGCAGGTCGGTCGTCTCCCCGTCGAGTTTTCTTTTGGCCTTTTCCAGTTCCTGACGAGTCTTTTCTTCCTTCTTTAAGCGTTCTTTAAGGTAAGACATAAGAAGCTCTTCAACACACCGAGTGACTCACCACAGGAATAAACTAAAATACAGACTGATCCAAGTTGAAAATAAGCCATTTTATTCAAAAGCATGTCACTGCCCTGATGACATGGTCATGCGCTGATGTCAACTGCTCAGTCATTTCAAACCCACCGAGATCTGGAGGGGAGATAAATTAGTGTGGGGAGGGAATTTTAAGGAAGAAGTTGAGTGTCCTAAGAATGTCCTTTCATGGGAGGTGAGACCACACTGTGAGAGCCGAAGGGAGCTGGAATCCTCTCATGTCAAACACATCACTGTACCCAGGTTTGCAAAGTGGCTCAGCAGGTGCTGGGGCAGCAATCGTAGCTGCCTGTCACCCCATTCCCTTTTCCATGGGAACCCCTGTTCTGAACCAAGAAAACTGCCATCCTCGAGTACTGGGAGAGAGGAGACAGAAGAGTGGGCAGAGAGGGCCAGGCCTTTTCTCCACCCTCCCCTCTAAAATTCTGCAGTGATCTCTCAGTTAGCCCTAGTGATCTATTTCACTGAATGATTTATTTCCTCACAACAACCTGTATGCCTTTGTGTTCTCCACCAGGAACCAATTTGCTGAGAGGATGAGACCGAGTGTCACAGGCTGATCAAACAGGTGAGTAAAAAAGCACATGTGCTTATGGGTACTTCCTCAGCAGAAGAACCATATACTAGTACAAATGGTTTATGAAAGTAATTTCATACTGACATGCCCTCTTTTGTTTATACTAAAACAAACAAACAAATAAAACCCCAAATATTTTTTAAAAGCCAACCCCATCGTCTTCCTATCATAAACGCACACATTAACCAAGAGTGGGCACCTGCCTGCAGGCGCCTGCACAGAGCTCCCTCCCCCTGGTGATGGTACCAGTCTCTAGCTGCTCTTTCCAACTTCCATCCTCTTTTCTTATTGCTTTTGCAGAAGCTGTAATGTCCTAGGATTTCCTGATATTACACTGTGGCTTGGCCCTCAGTAGTGTCTTCTCTGTATCTGCCAGCTTTTATGTCACTGGCCAGTCCCTTTGTGAGGTACTTTGTGGGCACTTTAATACAGCTTTAGATTAAACACAATGGTCTGTAGGACCCAAACAATATAACCCCAACCATGCCCACCAAAGAACAGTATCTTTTACCACAGTACCAAAGTTAAAAAAGGAAAACCAGGCCTGGCGCCATGGCTCACGCCTGTAATCCCAGCACTCTGGGAGGCCAAGGTGGGTGGATCACCTAAGGTCAGGAGTTTGAGACCAGCCTGACCAACATGGTGAAACCCCATCTCTACTAAAAATACAAAATTAGCCAGGTGTGGTTGGTGCATGCCTGTAATCCCCGCTACTTGGGAGGCTGAGGCAAGAGAATTGCTTGAACGCGGGAGATGGAGGTTGCAGTGAGCCAAGATTGCGCCACTGCACTCCAGCCTGGGCAACAAGAGTGAAACTCCATCTTAAAAAAAAAGAAAAAGAAAAAGGAAAACCATTTTATCATCATTTCAAGGCAACACAAAATAATCTTAAGAGCCCTTTTTATTATGTTTTAAATACAGGGTCTCGCTGTGTTACCCAGGCTGTAGTGCGGTTGCATGATCATAGCTCACTACAGTGAGCTCCTGGGCACAAGCAATTCTGCTGCCTCTGTCACCCCACGATCACAGCTCACTCTGGTGAGCTCCTGGGCGCAAGCAATCCTTCTGCCTCAGCTTCCAAGTAGCTGGGACTATAGATGTGCACCACTACGCCAGGCTAATTTGTAAATTTTTTGTAGAGATGGAGTCTCACTATGCTGCCCAGGCTGGTCTTAAACTCCTGGCCTCATGAGATCCTCCTGCCTCAGCCTCCCAAAGTGCTAGGATTACAGGCCTGAGACACCGTGCCCAGCCAAGGGACCTATTTTAATAAGTCAACCCAAACTGAAGGTCCTTATTATTAGTAATCATCATGTATATTTTTTATTTTTGCATGTTCTGATTACAGTAAAAGCTAAACACTCACATGTCCTAGTCCCTGATTTCTCTAGCCCCAAATACTAACCTTCTAAATCTGAGATCATCACTTCTTGCTTATTCCTGATTTTGGCCAAGTTTTTCGCCTTTTCTTCCTCTTCAGCCAGCTGAGAGGAACACTCAGCAATGCGATCTTCCATGAGTTTCTTTTCCTGGACAGGAAAAATTGACTGCTTCAGAAAAGCCATTCAGAATGACCACTTGGGTTCTGTATTCCTCATAAAGGTCAACTTTGACTCGAGAGAAAATAAGTTCTATCGGCACTGCCTCCCCCAGCAGACTGTACACAATCACATGCTGCAGAACGATGTTTTGGACAATGATGAACCGGATACACGACAGTGGTCTCCTAAGATGATCATGGAGCTGAAAACTTCATCGAGAGCTGTCATAACACCACAGTGCAATTACTCTATTTTTAAAATAAATGTACTGCAGCCTCAGTGTGCCATGTTGATAAAGTCTGCAGTCATGTACAGCAATGTCCTAGGCCTTCACATTCACTCAGCGCTCACTCACTGACTCACCCAGAGCAGCTTCCAGTCCTGCAAGCTCCGTTCATGGTGAGTGCCCAATAGAGGTGTGCCATTTTAAATCTTTTCTATCATTTTTACCGTACCTTTTCTATCATATTTTTACTGGACTTTTGTGTGGATATGTTTAGATACACAAGTACTTATTAGCACTGTGTTCCAACTGCCTACAGTATTCAGGACAGTAACATGCTGTACAAGTGTGTGGCCTAGATGCAATCAGCCCAGCGTCTGGTCTAGGTGTATAGCAGGCTCTACCATCTAGTTTGTGTCCATACACTCTATGATGTTTGTACGAGGATAAAATAACTTCACAATGCATTTCCCAGAATGTGTCCTCATCGTTAAACAACACACGACTGTACTCCAAAAGGGCAGAAAGGCTTACACGTCTTGGTGCCCACCCCGGGAGCTTGGCCCAGCTGCCTGGTATTCAGAGTCCCACAGTCAATGGTGGATGAATTAATGCTTGCACAGATGGAGACAAGTCATCATTGAGTGACCATTATGCACAAACTGCACATGTTACAAGTCTAAAAGATTATCAGGATATTTGATAAGGTTTAAAAAATTCAATGGTGCCTGTATCTTTAGAAATCTATACAAGTAGAGACTTACAGAGAAAATTCAGTAAATGAACCTAAAATCTTGAGAAATTTCTGTTTGAGTTCACTTTCAATGAGTGTATCAACATAATATTATATAAATATTTTCTGTAACTAAAATCAGCTTTTTGTGGGAACACTCTCTTACTTTGATGAACTTGGAATTTTGGTCCTCGAGAAGCAGAATCTCCTCTTCCATCTTCTTGATCTTGGCCTCTGCTGTCACCTTTTCCAGCTGCAGCTTTTGCCGAGCCCCTTCCTCCTCGTCTAGCTGTTCTTCCAGGTCCTTGTGAAGAACACACAGTCAGTCTCGCCACTTTCTCGAGATTTGACCACACATTCATTGTGCACAGGAATGCATTACAATGAGATACTAATTTTTTTTTTTTTTTTGACACGGAGTCTCGCTCTGTTGCCCAGGCTGAAGTGCAGTGGTGCCACCTCGGCTCGCTGCAACCTCCACCTCCTGGGTTCACGCCATTCTCCTGCCTCAGCCTCCCGAGTAGCTGGGACTACAGGTGCCCGCCACCACGCCCGGCTAATTTTTTGATTTTTTTTTTGGTAGAGATGGGGTTTCACCATGTTAGCCAGGATGGTCTTGATCTCCTGACCTCATGATCCATCCGCCTCAGCCTAGATACTAATTTTTGATTCTCAAAATGCCAAGGATATTTAAAAAAATATGAAATGCAGTTATGTGAAATAGACATTTGTATCCGCTACAGGCTAAAGTACAAACTGGGTCAATCCTTCTAGAAGCCAACATGGCAAAACATAGCTTTAAAAATGAGCCTTTCCTTTCAACCAGCAATTTCAGGAAATTGTCACAGATGCAATTTATATAAAAAGACATACAGTGATAAGTTATTTATAATATTGAGTAACTATGAACATGCTACAAAAAGGTCTTGGTAATTAAATGTTGGCACATTTGTTAAATGGAATAATATATAGTAATTAAAATTCACATTTTGGAATAATAGCAACACAGACAAACATGAATAATGTAGTAGCACTCATCAAATGTGTATTTAATTTAGCTGAATCCAACTATATACATGTTCGGCCAAAGAAGAGAGAAAGAGAACATGAAAACAATAATTTAAATAGTACAGGTCGTGAGAAATGAGCTGTCTCAGTTCAAGTGTACCTTTCACAGCAGAAGCACCTCATCAAACTGGGCGGGAGCATAGAGTTTACATGTATTTTTATTAGAACGTGCAGATCTTTATAATCTACATTACTGTTTATGATAAACATGCTATTACACAGGATCACAGATAGATTACCCCATTTTATATGAGGTGATTATTACACACTACATGCCTGTATCAAAACATCTCATGTACCCCATATATATATATATATATATATATATATATATATATATATATATACACACATACATACATACACACACACACACTTAATATATACGCATAAAAATTAAAATTAAAAACAAAGTGTTACAGCTCTTTTAGAATTTGTCTAGCAGGATTTCTGGTTTCTGGTGGAAAGCTCCCATCCCCTCCAAAAAACGAAATTAAAAAAAAAGTTAAACAAAACAAAACCCAGGCTGGGCGCAGTGGCTCACGCCTGTAGTCCTAGCACTTTGGGAGGCCGAGGTGGGTGGATCACCTGAGGTCAAGAGTTCGAGACCAGCCTGGCCAACGTGGTGAAACCTCGTCTCTACTAAAAATACAAAAATTAGCTGGGCGTGGTAGCAGGCGCCTGTAATCCCAGCTACTGGGGAGGCTGAGGCAAGGGAATCACTTGAACCGAGGAGGTGGAGGTTGCAGTGAGCCGAGATTGCGCCATTGCACTCCAGCCTGGGCAACAAAGCGAGACTCCGTCTCAAAAACAGAACAAAAAAACAAAAACAAAAACAAACCCCAAAAAACCAAAACTAGGGTTGTACAAATCAACACATGGCCAACTTAAGGAAATGTTCAAGAGTAACTTCGGCTAAATAATTTACTCATCGTTAATTTTAGAATGAAACCATGGCAAAAAATGAGTGTTTTCTTGTAAAAATTTCAAACACACATACAAGCACACAGACCAGCATAATAAGCCCCACACAGAAGCATCACCTTGACCTTAACAAGCATCAACTCATGGTCAATTCCATTTCATGTGTGCCTCCACCTGCTCCCTTCTCCCCCTAGGTTATTTTGAAGCAAATCCCAGACATCATATTTCACTTGTAAAACCTTCAGGCTGTACCTCTAAAATATAAAGACCATTTAAAAAGCACATTTGTCTGTTTCAATCACAATCCAAAAATTGTGCCTCATGAGTACAGCCTGTATTTCAAAAAGAAAGTTAAGTACCAGGGAAGGGCTAATTTTTAAAAATTCTCATTCTGACTGTTGGCCACCTCCTATGTCAGTGCTGAGCGTTTCTTATTAGCCAAACCACGTAGTAGATGTCTATCTAATGAATGGAGTGAGCAACAGAATCACTGACAACATGAAGAACAAGTTAGGTCTTCTACAGAATGCTATAGATCCTGGGAGGTTTGCGACTGTGAATCTCTTTGCAAACTGTAAGATGCCACTTAGAACATAAAAAAGATTCCTATACAAAATGACAAATCTTTGTTCAAAGAAAATCTATTATAGGTGTGTTTCAAATGATGGTCATCTTTCTAAGAGTGGCTTCTCATAACCCAGAACCCTTTTGCTTCTCTGTGGACTTAAGAATCCAAACACATAACTTCTGTTTATTCAACAGATCCACTTGAAAATCCAAAATATGCTTCTAAGTAAAAATTATTATACATACCTGAATATGTGCTTGCATTTTTTTCTTTTCATTTTGGAGGATTTGGTTTCTTTCTTCTTCTTCTTCAACCCTAGACTCCAAGTCATGTAGAATCTCTTCTAATTCCTGCTTTTTAGCAGCAAGTCTTGCCCTCATCTCTTCTGCTTCAGCAAAGAGCTCAGTCTCTGCTTGTAGTTGTTCTGCAAGGATATTCTTCTCTTCTAAAAGCTGCAATCACAATAAAGTGTCTGTGATTTGCCCCTATTACATACGTACACAGTATATATTCGCCGTGATTTCAATGGTCAATGCACATCAAAGAAACTGGGAGATAAAAATATATAACATCACGGGAAGAACTTTCAAATACGTTTTTGTCTATAGCAAAATAAGCAAGATGAAAATATTTTGGTTGTTCCTGTTGTCTCAAGTTACTGTGAATAATACATATTAAATTCATGATAGTTCATCTATGAAGGTAATTTACAAGGGACAGATAAATAGGAGAGTGAAAATATTATTCAAATGCCATAAAGTTCATGGTGATTACTAATGCCTGTTTGGTAGTAAGTGATATCCTTGGCCTTTATTGTTAATATTTTTGGCCTTGAACACTATAATTCTATTATTGCCACAACAAACATCTCCTGAGCCTCAGCTTTGTCCATGAAGAAAACTTCCCAGAAGAGGGACACACATTCAAGACCACTGCTGCTAGAGAAGTTCAGGTGGTGACCTCTACTCAAGCATCTCGTCCTTTGACCATTTTTCTATTTCCCCTCATAAACAGACATAGGAAGGTGACAGTACCGGGAACCTCATCGAAAACAGGTGTTAAGTACATGCTTGACACCAAGAATAACAAAAGCAAAGATGCAAGAGGTAAGGTTGATTTTAACTTCTACAAATCTAAAATGCAAGGCAGAATGTATCTGTTAACTCTATTGGCAAAATATATACAATTTGGAAATGAGTGAAAAGGCCTCCCATAAAATAAGATGATATGGTGGGTACAGCTATTCATAATGAAATGTGTCGGGGTTGCTACCAGTGCAAGATCTCATAGGGATTCAGGGCCAAGTGTGAGTTACAAGGTCACTGCACACACCTGCTGGTGCTTCCGCTCCATCTCCTCCAGCTCTCCTTCCACCTTCGTCTGCTTCTCCTTCACCTTCAACAGCTCTTCATCTTTGGCCTGAAGTTCTTCCTCCTGGCGAGTCACTTGTAGAAGCGGCTTCACCTATGACAAAATTAAGCAGTTTTTTTTTTTTTATCATTCCAGCTCTTTCCTATGGGTTTTTCCTGATCAGACTCTGCTATTTGAAAGGGATCTGGAAAGAAGTGAGCCAAGCTCACCTTTGTGAAGACTCGCCACCACTGCCAGTGCCGTAATTTCAGGTACGCGGCACAGTTCCGCTGCAAGACCTTTAAGGCACTTAGTTGCTGCTGCTTCTTGGCAAAGGCCCTGAAGAACAATAAGAAAAACTTATGATGTAAAGAAAAAAGTGCTTGAATGGCTGTTGTCATAAGAAGCCTTTCTAAAGGCCCGTGTTCTTCTTTGTCTAGGATAGGGAATGATTGCATCAATCAAGTCCTGGGTGAGACGCACAAGGAAGCCGTTCTGGCCGCTCGAAGCCACACTGGCTTGTTGGCCTGCTCAGCCCACCTCAGGCCCCTGGCACCAGTTCCTGCACTGACTTTCTTCAGGGACGCTGCCCTGCACATTCTCCTGCTGCCACTCAGCCATATACCCACACTGCGCACACTAAGAAACCGATTTTCCTGAGGCAATGAAGACTGTAGACAGAAGGGCCCGTTTTCTCTGTGCTGCTCTCTTTATCGTGCCTTTAGGAGCTACTCTCGTTTTCCTTTTGATATGTCACAGAAGAAACATTTCTCCCCAACCCCCAAGGTAATTTTTCTCCTCCTTCCCTCCACTTTGCCGCAATGGAGCGCAGCACTCAAAAGCTACAATGGGGTTGTCAATGTCTCTCATTTACGGCCCGGCCTCCTCCAGGGCCTGGAGATGACTCTAGATCTGTGGAGCCCTCACCTCCTTGTGACCATACCTGGGCTTCCCACTACACCCTGTCACCTCCTCAGCCCCACAGCAGGGTCTGAGACCCAGTTCCCATTCGCCTTCACTCTACTATTTTTCAATTTCTCACTCTCCTTCAGGAACACAGAAACCCTCAACCCCCCTCCTGCCAAAAACAACCCCCAGGCCCAAATGAAGCTCATTACCTTGCGGTTCCTTCGACAGACAACTGACATTTTTCTACTCCTTATGAAACTCTCAGGGTCCACAGGCAAACGTTCCTATTACTGACTTCCTGGCTTCCAGCAGTCGGCTTTCTATCCCACCACGCTACCGAAGCTGCATTTTAGATCTTGACAAAGGACTCCCAGACTCAGAACTTAGCGGCTTTTCCTCAGCCAAATCCAAGTGCCTGGCACGCTGCACTCCTCTGGGGACTACCCACTACTGGACATCTCATCCCTGCATTCCAGAGCACCAGAACGGCCTCCGAGTCTCCTGGGCCCCGCTAACAGTGCTGATGCTCCACTCCGACAGTCCACTCACACGGCTGCGCTCCCACCTAGACTCTGAGTTCCTCAGGAGCAGGGATCATGGCCCAGGCATTTTTGTTGGCACAACCAAGTGACCGACAGACTCCAGGCCTCCTGAGGATGTTTGTTGAGTAAATTAACTGGGTATTTCCTAGAAATAATCTGTAATTGTTTCTCTGGAGTCCTTTTATAACGGCTTGCAGGAGTAGCTATAGGACTCTCCTGGGAAAGAGAAGCAATTGAAGGCGATGGAAAAAATAAGAAAAACATTTTGAATTATTCATTCACTCCAGCAAACAGCGGTATCAGGAGTGGGAGTGTCTTAAGAAAAGACAGACAGTTGCTGTTTTAGAGCAAAAATTACCTACCTGTCACATTTCCTTGCAAGAATCCCACAACTGCTATACTGCCAACGAATTCCTCCTTGCTGGTTAGAATTTTCCCTGAACCCACTGCTTCATAACTGATTTTATTCTTGCTCCTTACAAAACCTTCTAACTTATTCCTACCAGCCAAAAAGAATTAGCCAAGTCTTTTTTTTTTTTTTTTTTTTTTTTTTTGAGACAGAGTCTTGCTCTGTCGCCCAGGCTGGAGTGCAGTGGTGCAATCTTGGCTCACTGAAACCTCTGCCTCTTGGGCTCAAGCGATTCTCATGCCTCAGCCTCCCGAGAAGCTGGGACTACAGGTGTGCACCACCATGCCTTGCTAATTTTTTGTATTTTTAGTAGAGACAGGGTTTCACCATGTTGGCCAGGCTGGTCTTGAACTCCTGACCTCAAGTGATCCCCCCGCCTCGGCCTCCACAAGTGCTGGAATTACAGGTGTGAGCCACCGTGCCTGGCCGGGATTGGCCAAGTCTTAATTCCAAGAGTTTCTACTACAAAAACAAAAGTTTCAAAAATGACTTTTGAATCTATTAAGCATCCACCTTCCAATTCTTGCAATCTCCTTCAGGAATGCTGTACAAATTCACCCAATCTTCTTATTAAAAACTACTGCCCTAGTTGCTTCTTTGGCCCTCTGGGAGATAAAACTGTCAAATGATGAGTCAGAAACATGCCGGGCACTTTGTTTAGTGGAATGAGGCAGCTGGTTTCCTTCTCCGCAGTGGTCGGCTGATTTCTATTACACCTGTGTGTCAGGCACTGTCCTCCAGGTTTTCATGAGGGAGCTGTGACATCAACCTATCTCCGAGTGTTTGGAAAGTGGACTTCAAAAGTGTTCAAAATCACTTTAGCTCCTTCCCCCTTTTTATCCTTATCCCAATGTCCTCCAGGGTGCTTCAAGCTCAAGTTCATGGATTTCTGTAAAGATACCTATTATTTTGACTATTGTAAGCACTATTCTGCCTTTTTCCACAGTACAATCTGGTTCTTTTGAATAGGTTATCTTCTTTTTTTGATGTATCCTGATTTTAAGTTCCAGCCTACCATATGCATAGTGTGAATAAAATATTGAGGGGCAGGGGCTGCAAAGGCAAAGGCATGCTGGCTTACATATAAGATTACATGGATTTGTTAGCTTTAAGTCCTTAAGATGAAATAATGCAAGTGAAATATCTTTGTTTTTAACTTTCTATCTTGAAAATTTTGCAAGCAAGGTTTAGATCAATGAAAAAGCTGCACAAAGTATATCTATATACTTCGTTTCCTGCACTTTCGATAGTTGTAGCATGTTTCTGGCAGATGTCAAGTTTTTTGCTAACTCTATGAAGTTAGCCTGGCACCTGCCATTGCTCACTCCTTATGCTATGTTAGGCATTCTGCAGTTCAGTGGATACAGTGAGGAGAGTCTCTGCTATCAACAGGTTCTCTTTATTATTTATATAGTATCTAAATATTAGTATATAAAAACCCGGCCGGGCACAGTGGCTCACGCCTGTAATCCCAGCACTTTGGGAGGCTGAGGCGGGTGGATCACAAGGTCAGGAGATCGAGACCATCCTGGCTAACACGGCGAAACCCCATCTCTACTAAAAAAAATACAAAAAATTAGCCGGGTGTGGTGGCGGGCGCCTGTAGTCCCAGCTACTCGGGAGGCTGAGGGAGGAGAATGGCATGAACCCAGGAGGCGGAGCTTGCAGTGAGCCGAGGTCGCGCCACTGCACTCCAGCCTCAGCGACAGAGCGAGACTCTGTCTCAAAAAAAATAAAATAAAAACCCAATTCTTTTACTCCTTTTTGCCAAATGTTTCTTAGTATCAACCCGAAGATATCATCTATTTGTCTTCAACTTTCCATGCTACTCTTTTTACTCTGTATTCTATTTTATAGGCAAAAATCCACAAGTATTGCCTTTACCTTCTTCCGTTTAAAGCCCTCTTGACCACTATCTGGGCAAGCAGACTGCCCAGGAACCAGAGCTGTTTTCCAACCCACATGTAGAGTACATTATTACAGAGTGCTGACTTCCAGTCCAGGTGTTCAGATTCTGTTTGCTCAAAACTGTCTGGATGGCAAACTATTCAACCTGTCTCAAATTCTCTCACTCCCAAACCCGAAGTGTTCAGTAGAAAGAAGTAAATACCAGTATTACCTTCTAAATCCAAATCAGTTCTAAGTCCTTTGAATTCTATCTCAAATTTAACAACTTTTCTCTCGTTCTCCACCACCACCTTCTTGGGTCCAGGCACCATCATCTTCTACCCAAATCACTAAGACAGCTTCCCAACTGGCCCTCCCAATTCTATTCTTGGCCAATTCTCAATGGATTCTGCCTACCGCAGCCAGGCGGCCTTGACAGTATAGATTCCCCCTCACTGCACTCCTAACCCCTGTCCAGCGTCTGATTCTCAAGCCTCTTCTCTCACCTTGCTCCCTCTCACCCATCCTGCTCCAGCCACACTGGACTGTGTCACCTTCTCAAATGCTGCCAGACTCTTGCCAGGATGCTGCTGTAGTTCCCTTACTGAAAAGCTTCTCTCTCCTCCCTTCACAGGGCCAGCCTTCTTACCCTTGAGGTTTCAGCCTCAGAGAAGCATTCTCTGAGGACTTGAGCTGAAGCAGGACCCCATACCCCTTGGCCCCGTGTGTGTGTGTGTGTGTGTGTGTGAGAAGCATTCTCTGAGGACTTGAGCTGAGGCAGGACCCCATACCCCTTGGCCCCGTGTGTGTGTGTGTGTGTGTGTGTGTGTGTGTGTGTGTGTGTGTTTGAGATAGGGTCTCACTTTGTCACCCAGGCTGGCATGCAGTGGTACCATCTTGGCTTATTGCAGCCTTGACCTCCTGGGTTCAAGAGATCCTCCCGCCTCAGCTCCCACAGGTAGCTGGGACTACAGGCGCATGCTACCAAGCCTGGCTAATTTTTGTATTTTTAGTAGAGATGGGGTTTTGCCATGAAGCCCTGGCTGGTCTCGAACTCCTGAGCTCAAGTGATCTGCCCACTTCAGCCTCCCAAAGTGCTGGGATTACAGGCCTGAGCCACCACGCCCAGCCTCCTTGTGTGTTTTTGTATTGCAACATCCCATTACTTAGAATGTTCATGTATTTACCTGACTATCTCTGCCACTATAAAGCAACTTCTGTAAGGACAGACTATGTCTCACACACTCTTGCACCCCAGGTCAAAATGCAATGCTTATCTAGCACAAGCACTTCCTCAGTGAACGATTAATTCGTGAATACCCACTCACTTTCTGGCCAGGTAACCTCTGCAAACGGCCTGGAAGAAGATAATGATATCGGTGATTTTTAAATCTCTTTCTTCCTCTAAGTGTGCCAGAACTCCAGCTCTGAAAAATATCTTGCTCTGTCCAATTCTGTACAAGTTTGGGTCCAATTCTAAAGCCCGGATCTAAGAGAGAAAGAGTTTATTTACTTTTTTTAACTACAAGAAAGATTAGATTAAATCTACAAGCCAGAAAAAGATCAAGAAAACCTTACCATTCGTTCACAGGCCTGTTTACCATCCATAAAACCTTTAGGAATAGCATTTGGAGTTAGGATCTCATATCTGTAAGAGAATATTCCAAGAAGTATTTTGTAGAAATTTGTGAACGATGTGTATCTACTAACTGTGTGTTTTGCTCTAAGAGGCAATAAAATGTTGGGTAATACATGTTAAAGATATGATGTAATACATGTTCAAGAAATGAACTGGTGATAATCTGATGTTTTCTGTAGATCTACTTTATTTCTCATAAGTAAAAATGAGGTTAGTTCTTTCAGGTCAAAAAGTAGGTTTAGGAGGTTGTGGCAGAGAAAAATCAAAAGCATGGTGTTTTAGAAACCTTTCATTTTTCTTCATGTCCCATAAAATGTTCATATCCTTAAGACGCAAAAGAGAATCTGGCTTTCTGTACTTTAAGTCACTGTCAATTTGTAGCATTTATTAGATAACAGGAAGGGCTGTAAGAGCTGTGTTCATAGGCTTCTATTCAAAACATCAGAAAATATCAGGGTGACATGTGACATGACGTTGGTCTGGGTGTATACACATACATATGTTCACTGAGCTGCACATTTAAAATCTGTGTACCTCACTGTATACAGTCTATACCTCAATCAGAAAAATAAAAGATACTGGCTATATATTAAAGGAGGAATCCTGGCTACATCAATCAACTTTGTATCTTGGATGCCAATTATACTCCCTTTTTCTCCTAACAATAAAAAATGAAAATCTACCAGACTTCATCATACAATGGGATCAGAATGATGGCTTTCCTCAAGACACACATGGACTGGAAAAGCTTCTCAAGGTGATTCTATCTGGAACAGTGGGAGAAAGGGCACAAAGACCATTCTTTGACCTGGCAGCACCATTTATTTCATGGAACAGCAAATGGTGTCATACTTTCAAATCTGATTTCCAGAAAAAAGAAGAAAAAAAGCAAACTAAAAGTAACTATTCAAGAAAATTACCAAATAAAAGTTAAAAATAACTCTCAACATATGTTTGTATCCATTTCCACTGCAAGTTGATAGATCTTTTCCCTTTTGTTTTTTCTTAATCCTTTTCTATCTACTCCTTTCCCTATGTTAGCTAAAAGACTGTAATTGCACGCATGTGTGTGCACATGTATACACATACATTGGAAAAAATACATACACATACACACACACATACAGATATATTCATTGAGAAAAGATGGAAAGAAGTACCCCAACATGTTTTTAGGAATCACTCCTTGATGATTTTTATTTACTTTTTTACTTCTCTTGTATTTTCCAATTTTCCTAAAAGGAACATACATTACTCATCTATTTAAAAAATCAATTTTAAAAATAATTATGTTAGGCCTGTAATCCCAGCACTTTGGGAGGCCGAGGCGGGATCACGAGGTCAGGAGATCGAGACCATCCTGGCTAGCTCAGTGAAACCCCGTCTCTACTAAAAATACAAAAATTTAGCTGGGCATGGTGGCACGTGCCTGTAGTCCCAGCAACTCAGGAGGCTGAGGCAGGAGAATCGCTTGAACCTGGGAGGCGGAGGTTGCAGTGAGCCGAGATGGCTCCACTGTACTCCAGCCTGGGTGACAGAGCGAAGACTCCATCTCAAAAATAATAAATAAATAAAAATAAAAATAATTATGTTTGAATCCCAGGTAGAACTGTCTGAATGAGTAAACTGTAAGCTTTCAGCTTTCTATGTTTATCTCAAAGCTAACTTCAGGGCCCTGAAAACATGGCATGTTTCTTTGCAGCGCCCATAGCAGTTCCTAGCACACTCCCTTTTTATAAAGTAGGCACTCAATCTTCCTACCAATAATCAAGGTAGTAAGGATTGTCCCTTTTCCAGAACCTCACTATATGTTTGCTATATAAGAAAACAAACTATGTAGGGGACAAGGAAAAAGATTTCCTTATTTTATCACTGTTTTAATTCATATCAAGATAAACTCTGATACATAAGCAAAAAAAGTAAAAGTTAGCAATACCTCTGTCTGAATTCCTGGAAAACTATTCGGTTAGGGAAGCCCTGGCGACAGATTCGGATCCCTTCCAGGACACCGTTACAGCGAAGCTGATCTAGGACTAGGTGTGGATCCAATTTTCCAGCCTAATCAAGCAAACAATAGTTTCATGGTTTAATCTTTAGCATCTGACCTAGATCAGTTTTAAATACTAGCATATGTTTTGCTCAGCACGTACCCTCTTCTCGTGATTTGGAATGATACAACGAACAAAGTTAGGGTTGGTGTTTCGGAGAGTTGCCATCAGCTTGGTGAGAGATTCTTTGTAGAGTTGCCCAACGGTACGAAACATGCCCTTCTTGGTTTTATATGCGGAGCCAAAAGCTGTCTCAGTCATACCAGTGACTTGATCCAGACCCACGATACGGTCCACTGGGGAGAAGAAAGGAGAAAACAAATATAAGCCAAACCTCACTCGTTAGCAGGGAAAGAAAAGACACAGTGAAAGTGCAGCAGCACAAGCTTTGTGGAACAAATGACAGGAGATGCCATATAGGTAAG